>NC_000002.12:93694776-93921714 GCF_000001405.40 Homo sapiens | reverse complement strand
CCCAGTAATGGGAGGGCTGGGTCAAATGGTATTTCTAGTTCTAGATCCCTGAGGAATCGCCACACTGACTTCCACAATGGTTGAACTAGTTTAAAGTCCCACCAACAGTGTAAAAGTGTTCCTATTTCTCCGCATCCTCTCCAGCACCTTTTTTGTAGTATCTGGAAGTGGACATTTGGAGAGTTCTCAGGAATACGGTGAAAAAGGAAATATCTTCCAATAAAAGCTAGATAGATATGTCTAGAGTTTATATGAAGACAATCCCGTTTCCAACGAAATCCTGAAAGCTATCCAAATATCCTCTTGCAGATATTACAAAAAGAGTGTTTCAAAACTGCTCTATCAAAAGAAAGCTTCAACACTGTTAGTTGAGGGCGCCCATCACAAATAAGTTTCGGAGAATGCTTAGCTGTCTGCTTTTTATATGTAATCCCGTTTCCAACGAAATCCTGAAAGCTATCCAAATATCCTCTTGCAGATATTACAAAAAGAGTGTTTCAAAACTGCTCTATCAAAAGAAAGGTTCAACACTGTTAGTTGAGGGCGCACATCACAAGTAAGTTTCTGAGAATGCTTCTGTCTAGTTTTCAGGGGAAGATATATCCTTTTTCACCATAGGAATGAAAGCGCTCCAAATGTCCACATCCAGATACTACAAAAAGAGTGTTTCAAACCTGCTCTATGAAAGGGAATGTTCAACTCTGTGACTTGAATGCAAACATCACAAAGAAGTTACTGGGAATGCTTCTGTCTAGAGTTTTTATGAAGACAATCCCGGTTTCCAACGAAATCCTCAAAGCTATCCAAATATCCTCTTGCAGATATTACAAAAAGAGTGTTTCAAAACTGCTCTATTAAAAGAAAGGTTCAACACTGTTAGTTGAGGGCGCACATCACAAATAAGTTTCTGAGAATGCTTCTGTCTAGTTTTCAGGGGAAGATATTTCCTTTTTCACCATAGGCCTGAAAGCGCTCCAAATGTCCACATCCAGAAACTACAAAAAGAGTGTTTCAAACCTGCTCTATGAAAGGGAATGTTCAACTCTGTGACTTGAATGCAAACATCACAAAGAAGTTTCTGGGAATGCTGCTGTCTGCTTTTTATATGTAATCCCGTTTCCAACGAAATCCTCAATGCTAGACAAATATCCACTTGCAGATTCCACAAAAAGAGTGTTTCAAAACTGCTCTCTCAAAAGAAAGGTTCAACTCTGTTAGCTGAGTAGATACATCATGAAAAAGTTTCTGACATTGCTTCTATCTAGCTTTTATTGGAAGATATTTCCTTTTTCACCGTATTCCTGAGAACTCTCCAAATGTCCACTTCCAGATACTACAAAAAGAGTGTTTCAAACCTGCTCTATGAAAGGGACTGTTCAACACTGTGACTTCAATTTAAACATCCCAATGAAGCTTCTGAGAATGCTGCTGTCTGCTTTGTATAATTAATCCCGTTTCCAACGAAATCCTCAAAGCTATCCAAATATCCTCTTGCAGATATTACAAAAAGAGTGTTTCAAAACTGCTCTATCAAAAGAAAGCTTCAACACTGTTAGTTGAGGGCGCACATCACAAATAAGTTTCTGAGAATGCTGCTGTCTGCTTTTTATATGTAATCCCGTTTCCAACGAAATCCTCAAAGCTAGACAAATATCCACTTGCAGATTCCACAAAATAGTGTTTCAAAACTGCTCTATCAAAAGAATGCTTCAACACTGTTAGTTGAAGGCGCACATCACAAATAAGTTTCTGAGAATGCTTCTGTCTAGTTTTCAGGGGAAGATATTTCCTTTTAAACCATAGGCCTGAAAGCGCTCCAAATGTCCACATCGAGATACTACAAAAAGAGTGTTTCAAACCTGCTCTATGAAAGGGACTGTTCAACACTGTGACTTCAATTGAAACATCCCAATGACGCTTCTGAGAATGCTTCTGTCTAGAGTTTATATGAAGACAATCCCGTTTCCAACGAAATCCTCAAAGCTATCCAAATATCCTCTTGCAGATTTTACGAAAAGAGTGTTTCAAAACTGCTCTATCAAAAGAAAGCTTCAACACTGTTAGTTGAGGGCGCACATCACAAATAAGATTCTGAGAATTCTTCTGTCTAGTTTTCAGGGGAAGATATTTCCTTTTTCACCATAGACCTGAAAGCGCTCCAAATGTCCACATCCAGATACTACAAAAAGAGTGTTTCAAACCTGCTCTATGAAAGGGAATGTTCAACTCTGTGACTTGAATGCAAACATCACAAAGAAGTTACTGGGAATGCTGCTGTCTGCTTTTTATATGTAATCCCGTTTCCAACGAAATCCTCAAAGCTAGACAAATATCCACTTGCAGATTCCACAAAAAGAGAGTTTCAAAACTGCTCTCTCAAAGGAAAGGTTCAACTCTGTTAGCTGAGTAGATACATCATGAAAAAGTTTTTGACATTGCTTCTATCTAGCTTTTATTGGAAGATATTTCCTTTATCACCGTATTCCTGAGATCACTCCAAATGTCCACTTCCAGATACTACAAAAAGAGTGTTTCAAACCTGCTCTATGAAAGGGACTGTTCAACACTGTGACTTCAATTGAAACATCCCAATGAAGCTTCTGAGAATGCTTCTGTCTAGATTCTATATGAAGACAATCCCGTTTCCAACGAAATCCTCAAAGCTATCCAAATATCCTCTTGCAGATTTTACAAAAAGAGTGTTTCAAAACTGCTCTATCAAAAGAAAAGTTCCACACTGTTAGTTGAGGGCGCACATCACAAATAAGTTTGCTGAGAATGCTGCTGTCTGCTTTTTATATGTAATCCCGTTTCCAACGAAATCCTCAAAGCTAGACAAATATCCTCTAGCAGATTCCACAAAAAGAGTGTTTCAAAACTGCTCTATCAAAAGAAAGCTTCAACACTGTTAGTTGAGGGCGCACATCACAAATAAGTTTCTGAGAATGCTTCTGTCTAGTTTTCAGGGGAAGATATTTCCTTTTTCACCATAGGCCTGAAAGCGCTCGAAATGTCCACATCCAGATACTACAAAAAGAGTGTTTCAAACCTGCTCTATGAAAGGGACTGTTCAACACTGTGACTTCAATTGAAACATCCCAATGAAGCTTCTGAGAATGCTTCTGTCTAGAGTTTATATGAAGACAATCCCGTTTCCAACGAAATCCTCAAATCTATCCAAATATCCTCTTGCAGATATTACAAAAAGAGTGTTTCAAAACTGCTCTATCAAAAGAAAGGTTCAACACTGTTAGTTGAGGGCGCACATCACAAATAAGTTTCTGAGAATGCTTCTGTCTAGTTTTCAGAGGAAGATATTTCCTTTTTCCCCATAGGCCTGAAAGCGCTCCAAATGTCCACATCCAGATACTATAAAAAGAGTGTTTCAAACCTGCTCTATGAAAGGGAATGTTCAACTCTGTGACTTGAATGCAAACATCACAAAGAAGTTACTGGGAATGCTGCTGTCTGCTTTTTATATGTAATCCCGTTTCCAACGAAATCCTCAAAGCTAGACAAATATCCACTTGCAGATTCCACAAAAAGAGTGTTTCAAAACTGCTCTCTCAAAAGAAAGGTTCAACTCTGTTAGCTGAGTAGATACATCATGAAAAATTTTCTGACATTGCTTCTATCTTGCTTTTATTGGAAGATATTTCCTTTTTCACCGTAGTCCTGAGAGCGCTCCAAATGTCCACTTCCAGATACTACAAAAAGAGTGTTTCAAACCTGCTCTATGACAGGGAATGTTCAACACTGTGACTTCAATTGAAACATCCCAAAGAAATTTACTGAGAATGCTTCTGTCTAGAGTTTATATGAAGACAATCCCGTTTCCAACGAAATCCTCAAAGCTATCCAAATATCCTCTTGCAGATATTACAAAAAGAGTGTTTCAAAACTGCTCTATCAAAAGAAAGGTTCAACACTGTTAGTTGAGGGCGCACATCACAAATAAGTTTACTGAGAATGCTGCTGTCTGCTTTTTATATGTAATCCCGTTTCCAACGAAATCCTCAAAGCTAGACAAATATCCACTTGCAGATTCCACAAAAAGAGTGTTTCAAAACTGCTCTGTCAAAAGAAAGCTTCAACACTGTTGGTTGAGGGCGCACATCACAAATAAGTTTCTGAGAATGCTTCTGTCTAGTTTTCAGGGGAAGATATTTCCTTTTAAACTATAGGCCTGCAAAAGCTCCAAATGTCCACATCCAGATACTACAAAAAGAGTGTTTCAAACCTGCTCTATGAAAGGGACTGTTCAACACTGTGACTTCAATTGAAACATCCCAATGAAGCTTCTGAGAATTCTTCTGTCTAGAGTTTATATGAAGACAATCCCGTTTCCAATGAAATCCTCAAAGCTATCGAAATATCCTCTTGCAGATTTTACAAAAAGAGTGTTTCAAAACTGCTCTATCAAAAGAAAGCTTCAACACTGTTAGTTGAGGGCGCACATCACAAATAAGATTCTGAGAATGCTTCTGTCTAGTTTTCAGGGGAAGATATTTCCTTTTTCACCATAGGCCTGAAAGCGCTCCAAATGTCCACATCCAGATACTGCAAAAAGAGTGTTTCAAACCTGCTCTATGAAAGGGAATGTTCAACTCTGTGACTTGAATGCAAACATCACAAAGAAGTTACTGGGAATGCTGCTGTCTGCTTTTTATATGTAATCCCGTTTCCAACGAAATCCTCAAAGCTAGACAAATATCCACTTGCAGATTCCACAAAAAGACTGTTTCAAAACTGCTCTCTCAAAAGAAAGGTTCAACTCTGTTAGCTGAGTAGATACATCATTAAAAAGTTTCTGACATTGCTTCTATCTAGCTTTTATTGGAAGATATTTCCTTTATCACCGTATTCCGGAGATCTCTCCAAATGTCCACTTCAGGATACTACAAAAAGAGTGTTTCAAACCTGCTCTATGAAAGGGACTGTTCAACACTGTGACTTCAATTGAAACATCCCAATGAAGCTTCTGAGAATGCTGCTGTCTGCTTTGTATAATTAATCCCGTTTCCAACGAAATCCTCAAAGCTATCCAAATATCCTCTTGCAGATATTACAAAAAGAGTGTTTCAAAACTGCTCTATCAAAAGAAAGCTTCAACACTGTTAGTTGAGGGCGCACATCACAAATAAGTTTCTGAGAATGCTGCTGTCTGCTTTTTATAATTAATCCCGTTTCCAACGAAATCCTCAAAGCTATCCAAATATCCTCTTGCAGATATTACAAAAAGAGTGTTTCAAAACTGCTCTATCAAAAGAAAGCTTCAACACTGTTAGTTGAGGGCGCACATCACAAATAAGTTTCTGAGAATGCTTCTGTCTAGTTTTCAGGGGAAGATATTTCCTTTTTCACCATAGGCCTGAAAGCGCTCTAAATGTCCACATCCAGATACTACAAAAAGAGTGTTTCAAACCTGCTCTATGAAAGGGACTGTTCAACACTGTGACTTCAATTGAAACATCCCAATGAAGCTTCTGAGAATGCTTCTGTCTAGAGTTTATATGAAGACAATCCCATTTCCAACGAAATCCTCAAAGCTATCCAAATATACTCTTGCAGATATTACAAAAAGAGTGTTTCAAAACTGCTCTATCAAAAGAAAGGTTCAACACTGTTAGTTGAGGGCGCACATCACAAATAAGTTTCTGAGAATGCTTCTATCTAGTTTTCAGGGGAAGATATTTCCTTTTTCACCATAGGCCTGAAAGCGCTCCAAATGTCCACATCCAGATACTACAAAAAGAGTGTTTCAAACCTGCTCTATGAAAGGGAATGTTCAACTCTGTGACTTGAATGCAAACATCACAAAGAAGTTACTGGGAATGCTGCTGTCTGCTTTTTATATGTAATCCCGTTTCCAACGAAATCCTCAAAGCTAGACAAATATCCACTTGCAGATTCCACAAAAAGAGTGTTTCAAAACTGCTCTCTCAAAAGAAAGGTTTAACTCTGTTAGCTGAGTAGATACGTCATGAAAAAGTTTCTGACATTGCTTCTATGTAGCTTTTATTGGAAGATATTTCCTTTTTCACCGTAGTCCTGAGAGCGCTCCAAATGTCCACTTCCAGATACTACAAAAAGAGTGTTTCAAACCTGCTCTATGAAAGGGACTGTTCAACACTGTGACTTCAATTGAAACATCCCAATGAAGCTTCTGAGAATGCTTCTGTCTAGAGTTTATATGAAGACAATCCCGTTTCCAACGAAATCCTCAAAGCTATCAAAATATCCTCTTGCAGATTTTACAAAAAGAGTGTTTCAAAACTGCTCTATCAAAAGAAACCTTCAACACTGTTAGTTGAGGGCGCACATCACAAATAAGATTCTGAGAATGCTGCTGTCTGCTTTTTATATGTAATCCCGTTTCCAACGAAATCCTCAAAGCTAGACAAATATCCACTTGCAGATTCCACAAAAAGAGTGTTTCAAAACTGCTCTATCAAAAGAATGCTTCAACACTGTTAGTTGAGGGCGCACATCACAAATAAGTTTCTGAGAATGCTTCTGTCTAGTTTTCAGGGGAAGATATTTCCTTTTAAACCATAGGCCTGAAAGCGCTCCAAATGTCCACATCCAGATACTACAAAAAGAGTGTTTCAAACCTGCTCTATGAAAGGGACTGTTCAACACTGTGACTTCAATTGAAACATCCCAATGACGCTTCTGAGAATGCTTCTGTCTAGAGTTTATATGAAGACAATCCCGTTTCCAAAGAAATCCTCAAAGCCATCCAAATATCCTCTTGCAGATTTTACAAAAAGAGTGTTTCAAAACTGCTCTATCAAAAGAAAGCTTCAACATTGTTAGTTGAGGGCGCACATCACAAATAAGATTCTGAGAATGCTTCTGTCTAGTTTTCAGGGGAAGATATTTCCTTTTTCACCATAGGCCTGAAAGCGCTCCAAATGTCCACATCCAGATACTACAAAAAGAGTGTTTCAAACCTGCTCTATGAAAGGGAATGTTCAACTCTGTGACTTGAATGCAAACATCACAAAGAAGTTTCTGGGAATGCTGCTGTCTGCTTTTTATATGTAATCCCGTTTCCAACGAAATCCTCAAATCTAGACAAATATCCACTTGCAGATTCCACAAAAAGAGTGTTTCAAAACTGCTCTCTCAAAAGAAAGTTTCAACTCTGTTAGCTGAGTAGATACATCATGAAAAATTTTCTGACATTGCTTCTATCTAGCTTTTATTGGAAGATATTTCCTTTGTCACAGTATTCCTGAGATCTCTCCAAATGTCCACTTGCAGATACTACAAAAAGAGTGTTTCAAACCTGCTCTATGAAAGGGACTGTTCAAAACTGTGACTTCAATTGAAACATCCCAATGAAGCTTCTGAGAATGCTTCTGTCTACATTTTATATGAAGACAATCCCGTTTCCAACGAAATCCTCAAATCTATCCAAATATCCTCTTGCAGATTTTACAAAAAGAGTGTTTCAAAACTGCTCTATCAAAAGAAAGGTTCAACACTGTTAGTTGAGGGCGCACATCACAAATAAGTTTCTGAGAATGCTTCTGTCTAGTTTTCAGGGGAAGATATTTCCTTTTTCACCATAGGCTTGAAAGCACTCCAAATGTCCACATCCAGATACTACAAAAAGAGTGTTTCAAACCTGCTCTATGAAAGGGAATGTTCAACTCTGTGACTTGAATGCAAACATCACAAAGAAGTTTCTGGGAATGCTGCTGTCTGCTTTTTATATGTAATCCCGTTTCCAACGAAATCCTTAAAGCTAGACAAATATCCACTTGCAGATTCCACAAAAAGAGTGTTTCAAAACTGCTCTCTCAAAGGAAGGTTCAACTCTGTTAGCTGAGTAGATACATCATGAAAAAGTTTCTGACATTGCTTCTATCTAGCTTTTATTGGAAGATATTTCCTTTATCCCCGTATTCCTGAGATCTCTCCAAATGTCCACTTCCAGATACTACAAAAAGAGTGTTTCAAACCTGCTCTATGAAAGGGACTGTTCAACACTGTGACTTCAATTGAAACATCCCAATGAAGCTTCTGAGAATGCTGCTGTCTGCTTTGTATAATTAATCCCGTTTCCAACGAAATCCTCAAAGCTATCCAAATATCCTCTTGCAGATATTACAAAAAGAGTGTTTCAAAACTGCTCTATCAAAAGAAAGCTTCAACACTGTTAGTTGAGGGCGCACATCACAAATAAGTTTCTGAGAATGCTGCTGTCTGCTTTTTATATGTAATCCCGTTTCCAACGAAATCCTCAAAGCTAGACAAATATCCACTTGCAGATTCCACAAAAAGAGTGTTTCAAAACTGCTCTATCAAAAGAATGCTTCAACACTGTTAGTTGAGGGCGCACATCACAAATAAGTTTCTGAGAATGCTTCTGTCTAGTTTTCAGGGGAAGATATTTTCTTATAAACCATAGGCCTGAAAGCGCTCCAAATGTCCACATCCAGATACTACAAAAAGAGTGTTTCAAACCTGCTCTATGAAAGGGACTGTTCAACACTGTGACTTCAATTGAAACATCCCAATGAAGCTTCTGAGAATGCTTTTGTCTAGATTTTATATGAAGACAATCCCGTTTCCAAAGAATTCCTCAAAGCTATCAAAATATCCTCTTGCAGATTTTACAAAGAGTGTTTCAAAACTACTCTATCAAAAGAAAGGTTTAACACTGTTAGTTGAGGGCGCACATCACAAATAAGTTTCTGAGAATGCTTCTGTCTAGTTTTCAGGGGAAGATATTTCCTTTTTCACCATAGGCCTGAAAGCGCTCCAAATGTCCACATCCAGATACTACAAAAAGAGTGTTTCAAACCTGCTCTATGAAAGGGAATGTTCAACTCTGTGACTTGAATGCAAACACCACAAAGAAGTTACTGGGAATGCTGCTGTCTGCCTTTTATATGTAATCCCGTTTCCAACGAAATCCTCAAAGCTAGACAAATATCCACTTGCAGATTCCACAAAAAGAGTGTTTCCCAACTGCTCTCTCAAAGGAAAGGGTCAACTCTGTTAGTTGAGTAGATACATCATGAAAAAGTTTCTGACATTGCTTCTATGTAGCTTTTATTGGAAGATATTTCCTTTTTCACCGTAGTCCTGAGAGCGCTCCAAATGTCCACTTCCAGATACTACAAAAAGAGTGTTTCAAACCTGTTCTCTGAAAGGAACTGTTCAACATGTGACTTCAATTGAAACATCCCAATGAAGCTTCTGAGAATGCTGCTGTCTGCTTTGTATAATTAATCCCGTTTCCAACGAAATCCTCAAAGCTATCCAAATATCCTCTTGCAGATATTACAAAAAGAGTGTTTCAAAACTGCTCTATCAAAAGAAAGCTTCAACACTGTTAGTTGAGGGCGCACATCACAAATAAGTTTCTGAGAATGCTGCTGTCTGCTTTTTATATGTAATCCCGTTTCCAACGAAATCCTCAAAGCTAGACAAATATCCACTTGCAGATTCCACAAAAAGAGTGTTTCAAAACTGCTCTATCAAAAGAAAGCTTCAACACTGTTAGTTGAGGGCGCACATCACAAATAAGTTTCTGAGAATGCTTCTGTCTAGTTTTCAGGGGAAGATATTTCCTTTTAAACCGTAGGCCTGAAAGCGCTCCAAATGTCCACATCCAGATACTACAAAAAGAGTGTTTCAAACCTGCTCTATGAAAGGGACTGTTCAACACTGTGACTTCAATTGAAACATCCCAATGAAGCTTCTGAGAATGCTTCTGTCTAGAGTTTATATGAAGACAATCCCGTTTCCAAAGAAATCCTCAAAGCCATCCAAATATCCTCTTGCAGATTTTACAAAAAGAGTGTTTCAAAACTGCTCTATCAAAAGAAAGCTTCAACATTGTTAGTTGAGGGCGCACATCACAAATAAGATTCTGAGAATGCTTCTGTCTAGTTTTCAGGGGAAGATATTTCCTTTTTCACCATAGGCCTGAAAGCGCTCCAAATGTCCACATCCAGATACTACAAAAAGAGTGTTTCCAACCTGCTCTATGAAAGGGAATGTTCAACTCTGTGACTTGAATGCAAACATCACAAAGAAGTTTCTGGGAATGCTGCTGTCTGCTTTTTATATGTAATCCCGTTTCCAACGAAATCCTCAAAGCTAGACAAATATCCACTTCCAGATTCCACAAAAAGAGTGTTTCAAAACTGCTGTCTCAAAAGAAAGGTTCAACTGCTGTTAGCTGAGTAGATACATCATGAAAAAGTTTCTGACATTGCTTCTATGTAGCTTTTATTGGAAGATATTTCCTTTTTCACCGTAGTCCTGAGAGCGCTCCAAATGTCCACTTCCAGATACTACAAAAAGAGTGATTCAAACCTGCTCTATGAAAGGGAGTGTTCAGCACTGTGACTTCAATTGAAACATCCCAATGAAGCTTCTGAGAATGCTTCTTTCTAGAGTTTATATGAAGACAATCCCGTTTCCAACGAAATCCTCAAAGCTATCCAAATATTCTCTTGCAGATATTACAAAAAGAGTGTTTCAAAACTGCTCTATCAAAATAAAGCTTCAACACTGTTAGTTGAGGGCGCACATCACAAATAAGTTTCTGAGAATGCTGCTGTCTGCTTTTTATATAATCCCGTTTCCAACGAAATCCTCAAAGCTAGACAAATATCCACTTGCAGATTCCACAAAAAGAGTGTTTCAAAACTGCTCTATCAAAAGAAAGCTTCAACACTGTTAGTTGAGGGCGCACATCACAAATAAGTTTCTGAGAATGCTTCTATGTAGCTTTTATTGGAAGATATTTCCTTTTTCACCGTAGTCCTGAGAGCGCTCCAAATGTCCACTTCCAGATACTACAAAAAGAGTGTTTCAAACCTGTTCTATGAAAGGAACTGTTCAACACTGTGACTTCAATTGAAACATCCCAATGAAGCCTCTGAGAATGCTTCTGTCTAGAGTTTATATGAAGACAATCCCGTTTCCAAAGCAAATCCTCAAAGCTATCCAAATATCCTCTTGCAGATATTACAAAAAGAGTGTTTCAAAACTGCTCTATCAAAAGAAAGGTTCAACACTGTTAGTTGAGGGCGCACATCACAAATAAGTTTCTGAGAATGCTTCTGTCTAGTTTTCAGGGGAAGATATTTCCTTTTTCACCATAGGCCTGAAAGTGCTCCAAATGTCCACATCCAGATACTACAAAAAGAGTGTTTCAAACCTGCTCTATGAAAGGGAATGTTCAACTTTGTGACTTGAATGCAAACATCACAAAGAAGTTACTGGGAATGCTGCTGTCTGCTTTTTATATGTAATCCCGTTTCCAACGAAATCCTCAAAGCTAGACAAATATCCACTTGCAGATTCCACAAAAAGAGTGTTTCAAAACTGCTCTCTCAAAGGAAGGTTCAACTCTGTTAGCTGAGTAGACACATCATGAAAAAGATTCTGACATTGCTTCTATGTAGCTTTTATTGGAAGATATTTCCTTTTTCACCATAGTCCTGAGAGCGCTCCAAATGTCCACTTCCAGATACTACAAAAAGAGTGTTTCAAACCTGTTCTATGAAAGGAACTGTTCAACACTGTGACTTCAATTGAAACATCCCAATGAAGCTTCTGAGAATGCTTCTGTCTAGAGTTTATATGAAGACAATCCCGTTTCCAACGAAATCCTCAAAGCTATCCAAATATCCTCTTGCAGATATTACAAAAAGAGTGTTTCAAAACTGCTCTATCAAAAGAAAGGTTCAACACTGTTAGTTGAGGGCGCACATCACAAATAAGTTTACTGAGAATGCTGCTGTCTGCTTTTTATATGTAATCCCGTTTCCAACGAAATCCTCAAAGCTAGACAAATATCCACTTGCAGATTCCACCGAAAGAGTGTTTCAAAACTGCTCTATCAAAAGAAAGCTTCAACACTGTTAGTTGATGGCGCACATCACAAATAAGATTCTGAGAATGCTTCTGTCTAGTTTTCAGGGGAAGATATTTCCTTTTAAACCATATGCCTGAAAGCGCTCCAAATGTCCACATCCAGATACTACAAAAAGAGTGTTTCAAACCTGCTCTATGAAAGGGACTGTTCAACACTGCAACTTCAATTGAAACATCCCAATGAAGCTTCTGAGAATGCTTCTGTCTAGAGTTTATATGAAGACAATCCCGTTTCCAACGAAATCCTCAAAGCTATCAAAATATCCTCTTGCAGATTTTACGAAAAGAGTGTTTCAAAACTGCTCTATCAAAAGAAAGCTTCAACACTGTTAGTTGAGGGCGCACATCACAAATAAGATTCTGAGAATGCTTCTGTCTAGTTTTCAGGGGAAGATATTTCCTTTTTCACCATAGGCCTGAAAGCGCTCCAAATGTCCACATCCAGATACTACAAACAGAGTGTTTCAAACCTGCTCTATGAAAGGGAATGGTCAATTCTGTGACTTGAATGCAAACATCACAAAGAAGTTACTGGGAATGCTGCTGTCTGCTTTTTATATGTAATCCCGTTTCCAACGAAATCCTCAAATCTAGACAAATATCCACTTGCAGATTCCACAAAAAGAGTGTTTCAAAACTGCTCTCTCAAAGGAAAGGTTCAACTCTGTTAGCTGAGTAGATACATCATGAAAAAGTTTCTGACATTGCTTCTATCTAGCTTTTATTGGAAGATATTTCCTTTATCATCGTAGTCCTGAGAGCGCTCCAAATGTCCACTTCCAGATACTACAAAAAGAGTGTTTCAAACCTGCTCTATGAAAGGGACTGTTCAACACTGTGACTTCAATTGAAACATCCCAATGAAGCTTCTGAGAATGCTTATGTCTAGAGTTTATATGAAGACAATCCCGTTTCCAACGAAATCCTGAAAGCTATCCAAATATCCTCTTGCAGATATTACAAAAAGAGTGTTTCAAAACTGCTCTATCAAAAGAAAGCTTCAACACTGTTAGTTGAGGGCGCCCATCACAAATAAGTTTCGGAGAATGCTTAGCTGTCTGCTTTTTATATGTAATCCCGTTTCCAACGAAATCCTCAAAGCTAGACAAATATCCACTTGCAGATTCCACAAAAAGAGTTTTTCAAAACTGCTCTATCAAAAGAAAGCTTCAACACTGTTAGTTGAGGGCGCACATCACAAATAAGTTTCTGAGAATGCTTCTGTCTAGTTTTCAGGGGAAGATATTTCCTTTTTCACCATAGGCCTGAAAGCGCTCCAAATGTCCACATCCAGATACTACAAAAAGAGTGTTTCAAACCTGCTCTATGAAAGGGACTGTTCAACACTGTGACTTCAATTGAAACATCCCAATGAAGCTTCTGAGAATGCTTCTGTCTAGAGTTTATATGAAGACAATCCCGTTTCCAACGAAATCCTCAAAGCTATCCAAATATCCTCTTGCAGATTTTACAAAAAGAGTGTTTCAAAACTGCTCCATCAAAAGAAAGCTTCAACACTGTTAGTTGAGGGCGCACATCACAAATAAGATTCTGAGAATGCTTCTGTCTAGTTTTCAGGGGAAGATATTTCCTTTTTCACCATAGGCCTGAAAGCGCTCCAAATGTCCACATCCAGATACTACAAAAAGAGTGTTTCAAACCTGCTCTATGAAAGGGAATGTTCAACTCTGTGACTTGAATGCAAACTTCACAAAGAAGTTTCTGGGAATGCTGCTGTCTGCTTTTTATATGTAATCCCGTTTCCAACGAAATCCTCAAAGCTACACAAATATCCACTTACAGATTCCACAAAAAGAGTGTTTCAAAACTGCTCTCTCAAAAGAAAGGTTCAACTCTGTTAGCTGAGTAGATACATCATGAAAAAGTTTCTGACATTGCTTCTATCTAGCTTTTATTGGAAGATATTTCCTTTTTCACCGTAGTCCTGAGAGCGCTCCAAATGTCCACTTCCAGATGCTTCAAAAAGAGTGTTTCAAACCTGCTCTATGAAAGGGACTGTTCAACACTGTGACTTCAATTGAAACATCCCAATGAAGCTTCTCAGAATGCTACTGTCTAGAGTTTATATGAAGACAATCCCGTTTCCAACGAAATACTCAAAGCTATCCAAATATCCTCTTGCAGATTTTACAAAAAGAGTGTTTCAAAACTACTCTATCAAAAGAAAGGTTCAACACTGTTAGTTGACGGCGCACATCACAAATAAGTTTCTGAGAATCCTTCTGTCTAGTTTTCAGGGGAAGATATTTCCTTTTTCACCATAGGCCTGAAAGCGCTCCAAACGTCCACATCCAGATACTACAAAAAGAGTGTTTCAAACCTGCTCTATGAAAGGGAATGTTCAAGTCTGTGACTTGAATGCAAATTTCACAAAGAAGTTTCTGGGAATGCTGCTGTCTGCTTTTTATATGTAATCCCGTTTCCAACGAAATCCTCAAAGCTAGACAAATATCCACTTGCAGATTCCACAAAAAGAGTGTTTCAAAACTGCTCTCTCAAAAGAAAGGTTCAACTCTGTTAGCTGAGTAGATACATCATGAAAAAGTTTCTGACATTGCTTCTATCTAGCTTTTATTGGAAGATATTTCCTTTTTCACCGCAGTCCTGAGAGCGTTCCAAATGTCCACTTCCAGATACTACAAAAAGAGTGTTTCAAACCTGCTCTATGAAAGGGACTGTTCAACACTGTGACTTCAATTGAAACATCCCAATGAAGCTTCTGAGAATGCTTATGTCTAGAGTTTATATGAAGACAATCCCGTTTCCAACGAAATCCTGAAAGCTATCCAAATATCCTCTTGCAGATATTACAAAAAGAGTGTTTCAAAACTGCTCTATCAAAAGAAAGCTTCAACACTGTTAGTTGAGGGCGCCCATCACAAATAAGTTTCGGAGAATGCTTAGCTGTCTGCTTTTTATATGTAATCCCGTTTCCAACGAAATCCTCAAAGCTAGACAAATATCCACTTGCAGATTCCACAAAAAGAGTGTTTCAAAACTGCTCTATCAAAAGAATGCTTCAACACTGTTAGTTGAAGGCGCACATCACAAATAAGTTTCTGAGAATGCTTCTGTCTAGTTTTCAGGGGAAGATATTTCCTTTTAAACCATAGGCCTGAAAGCGCTCCAAATGTCCACATCCAGATACTACAAAAAGAGTGTTTCAAACCTGCTCTATGAAAGGGACTGTTCAACAGTGTGACTTCAATTGAAACATCCCAATGACGCTTCTGAGAATGCTTCTGTCTAGAGTTTATATGAAGACAATCCCGTTTCCAACGAAATCCTCAAAGCTATCAAAATATCCTCTTGCAGATTTTACGAAAAGAGTGTTTCAAAACTGCTCTATCAAAAGAAAGCTTCAACACTGTTAGTTGAGGGCGCACATCACAAATAAGATTCTGAGAATGCTTCTGTCTAGTTTACAGGAGAAGATATTTCCTTTTTCACCATAGGCCTGAAAGCGCTCCAAATGTCCACATCCAGATACTACAAAAAGAGTGTTTCAAACCTGCTCTATGAAAGGGAATGTTCAACTCTGTGACTTGAATGCAAACATCAGAAAGAAGTTACTGGGAATGCTGCTGTCTCCTTTTTATATGTAATCCCGTTTCCAACGAAATCCTCAAAGCTAGACAAATATCCACTTGCAGATTCCACAAAAACAGTGTTTCAAAACTGCTCTCTCAAAAGAAAGGTTCAACTCTGTTAGCTGAGTAGATACATCATGAAAAAGTTTCTGACATTGCTTCTATCTAGCTTTTATTGGAAGATATTTCCTTTATCACCGTATTCCTGAGATCTCTCCAAATGTCCACTTCCAGATACTACAAAAAGAGTGTTTCAAACCTGCTCTATGAAAGGGACTGTTCAACACTGTGACTTCAATTGAAACATTCCAATGAAGCTTCTGAGAATGCTTCTGTCTAGAGTTTATATGAAGACAATCCCGTTTCCAACGAAATCCTCAAAGCTATCCAAATATCCTCTTGCAGATATTACAAAAAGAGTGTTTCAAAACTGCTCTATCAAAAGAAAGGTTCAACACTGTTAGTTGAGGGCGCACATCACAAATAAGTTTACTGAGAATGCTGCTGTCTGCTTTTTATATGTAATCCCGTTTCCAACGAAATCCTCAAAGCTAGACAAATATACACTTGCAGATTCCACAAAAAGAGTGTTTCAAAACTGCTGTATCAAAAGAAAGCTTCAACACTGTTAGTTGAGGGCGCACATCACAAATAAGTTTCTGAGAATGCTTCTGTCTAGTTTTCAGGGGAAGGTATTTCCTTTTTCACCTTATGCCTGAAAGCGCTGCAAATGTCCACATCCAGATACTACAAAAAGAGTGTTTCAAACCTGCTCTATCAAAGGGACTGTTCAACACTGTGACTTCAATTGAAACATCCCAATGAAGCTTCTGAGAATGCTTCTGTCTAGAGTTTATATGAAGACAATCCCGTTTCCAACGAAATCCTCAAAGCTATCCAAATATCCTCTTGCAGATATTACAAAAAGAGTGTTTCAAAACTGCTCTATCAAAAGAAAGCTTCAACACTGTTAGTTGAGGGCGCACATCACAAATAAGTTTCTGAGAATGCTTCTGTCTAGTTTTCAGAGGAAGATATTCCCTTTTTCACCATAGGCCTGAGAGCGCTCCAAATGTCCACATCCAGATACTACAAAAAGAGTGTTTCAAACCTGCTCTATGAAAGGGAATGTTCAACTCTGTGACTTGAATGCAAATTTCACAAAGAAGTTTCTGGGAATGCTGCTGTCTGCTTTTTATATGTAATCCCGTTTGCAACGAAATCCTCAAAGCTAGACAAATATCCACTTGCAGATTCCACAAAAAGAGTGTTTCAAAACTGCTCTCTCAAAAGAAACGTTCAACTCTGTTAGCTGAGTAGATACATCATGAAAAAGTTTCTGACATTGCTTCTATCTAGCTTTTATTGGAAGATATTTCCTTTTTCACCGTAGTCCTGAGAACGCTCCAAATGTCCACTTCCAGATGCTAAAAAAAGAGTGTTTCAAACCTGCTCTATGAAAGGGACTGTTCAACACTGTGACTTCAATTGAAACATCCCACTGAAGCTTCTGAGAATGCTTCTGTCTAGAGTTTATATGAAGACAATCCCGTTTCCAACGAAATCCTCAAAGCTATCCAAATATCCTCTTGCAGATATTACAAAAAGAGTGTTTCAAAACTGCTCTATCAAAAGAAAGGTTCAACACTGTTAGTTGAGGGCGCACATCACAAATAAGTTTACTGAGAATGCTGCTGTCTGCTTTTTATAATTAATCCCGTTTCCAACGAAATCCTCAAAGCTATCCAAATATCCTCTTGCAGATATTACAAAAAGAGTGTTTCAAAACTGCTCTATCAAAAGAAAGCTTCAACACTGTTAGTTGAGGGCGCACATCACAAATAAGTTTCTGAGAATGCTTCTGTCTAGTTTTCAGGGGAAGATATTTCCTTTTAAACCATAGGCCTGAAAGCGCTCCAAATGTCCACATCCAGATACTACAAAAAGAGTGTTTCAAACCTGCTCTATGAAAGGGACTGTTCAACACTGTGACTTCAATTGAAACATCCCAATGACGCTTCTGAGAATGCTTCTGTCTAGAGTTTATATGAAGACAATCCCGTTTCAAACGAAATCCTCAAAGCTATCCAAATATCCTCTTGCAGATTTTACAAAAAGAGTGTTTCAAAACTGCTCTATCAAAAGAAAGCTTCAACACTGTTAGTTGAGGGCGCACATCACAAATAAGATTCTGAGAATGCTTCTGTCTAGTTTTCAGGGGAAGATATTTCCTTTTTCACCATAGGCCTGAAAGCGCTCCAAATGTCCACATCCAGATACTAAAAAAAGAGTGTTTCAAACCTGCTCTATGAAAGGGAATGTTCAACTCTGTGACTTGAATGCAAACATCACAAAGAAGTTTCTGGGAATGCTGCTGTCTGCTTTTTATATGTAATCCCGTTTCCAACGAAATCCTCAAAGCTAGACAAATATCCACTTGCAGATTCCACAAAAAGAGTGTTTCAAAACTGCTCTCTCAAAAGAAAGGTTCAACTCTGTTAGATGAGTAGATACATCATGAAAAAGTTTCTGACATTGCTTCTATCTAGCTTTTATTGGAAGATATTTCCTTTTTCACCGCAGTCCTGAGAGCGCTCCAAATGTCCACTTCCAGATACTACAAAAAGAGTGTTTCAAACCTGCTCTATGAAAGGGACTGTTCAACACTGTGACTTCAATTGAAACATCCCAATGAAGCTTCCTGAGAATGCTTCTGTCTAGATTTCAGGAGAAGATATTTCCTTTTTCACCATAGGCCTGAAAGCGCTCCAAATGTCCACATCCAGATACTACAAAAAGAGTGTTTCAAACCTGCTCTCTGAAAGGGAATGTTCAACTCTGTGACTTGAATGCAAACATCACAAACAAGATTCTGGGAATGCTGCTGTCTGCTTTTTATATGTAATCCCGTTTCCAACGAAATCCTCAAAGCTAGACAAATATCCACTTGCAGATTCCACAAAAAGAGTTTTTCAAAACTGCTCTATCAAAAGAAAGCTTCAACACTGTTAGTTGAGGGCGCACATCACAAATAAGTTTCTGAGAATGCTTCTGTCTAGTTTTCAGGGGAAGATATTTCCTTTTTCACCTTATGCCTGAAAGCGCTCCAAATGTCCACATCCAGATTCTACAAAAAGAGTGTTTCAAACCTGCTCTATGAAAGGGACTGTTCAACACTGTGACTTCAATTGAAACATCCCAATGAAGCTTCTGAGAATGCTTCTGTCTAGAGTTTATATGAAGACAATCCCGTTTCCAACGAAATCCTCAAAGCTATCCAAATATCCTCTTGCAGATATTACAAAAAGAGTGTTTCAAAACTGCTCTATCAAAAGAAAGCTTCAACACTGTTAGTTGAGGGCGCACATCACAAATAAGTTTCTGAGAATGCTTCTGTCTAGTTTTCAGGGGAAGATATTTCCTTTTTCACCATACGCCTGAAAGCGCTCCAAATGTCCACATCCAGATACTACAAAAAGAGTGTTTCAAACCTGCTCTATGAAAGGGAATGTTCAACTCTGTGACTTGAATGCAAACTTCACAAAGAAGTTTCTGGGAATGCTGCTGTCTGCTTTTTATATGTAATCCCGTTTCCAACGAAATCCTCAAAGCTAGACAAATATCCACTTGCAGATTCCACAAAAAGAGTGTTTCAAAACTGCTCTCTCAAAAGAAAGGTTCAACTCTGTTAGCTGAGTAGATACATCATGAAAAAGTTTCTGACATTGCTTCTATCTAGCTTTTATTGGAAGATATTTCCTTTAACACCGTATTCCTGAGATCTCTCCAAATGTCCACTTCCAGATACTACAAAAAGAGTGTTTCAAACCTGCTCTATGAAAGGGACTGTTCAACACTGTGACTTCAATTAAAACATCCCAATGAAGCTTCTGAGAATGCTTCTGTCTAGAGTTTATATGAAGACAATCCCGTTTCCAACGAAATCCTCAAA
Source organism: Homo sapiens (assembly GCF_000001405.40). Lineage (NCBI taxonomy): Eukaryota > Metazoa > Chordata > Mammalia > Primates > Hominidae > Homo > Homo sapiens. Next base: position 93,902,241 of record NC_000002.12, on the reverse strand, counting down.
TCTATCCAAATATCCTCTTGCAGATATTACAAAAAGAGTGTTTCAAAACTGCTCTATCAAAAGAAAGGTTCAACACTGTTAGTTGAGGGCGCACATCACAAATAAGTTTCTGAGAATGCTTCTGTCTAGTTTTCAGGAGAAGATATTTCCTTTTTCACCATAGGCCTGAAAGCGCTCCAAATGTCCACATCCAGATACTATAAAAAGAGTGTTTCAAACCTGCTCTCTGAAAGGGAATGTTCAACTCTGTGACATGAATGCAAACATCACAAACAAGATTCTGGGAATGCTGCTGTCTGCTTTTTATATGTAATCCCGTTTCCAACGAAATCCTCAAAGCTAGACAAATATCCACTTCCAGATTCCACAAAAAGAGTGTTTCAAAACTGCTCTCTCAAAAGAAAGGTTCAACTCTGTTAGCTGAGTAGATACATCATGAAAAAGTTTCTGACATTGCTTCTATGTAGCTTTTATTGGAAGATATTTCCTTTTTCACCATAGTCCTGAGAGCGCTCAAAATGTCCACTTCCAGATACTACAAAAAGAGTGTTTCAAACCTGTTCTATGAAAGGAACTGTTCAACACTGTGACTTCAATTGAAACATCCCAATGAAGCTTCTGAGAATGCTGCTGTCTGCTTTGTATAATTAATCCCGTTTCCAACGAAATCCTCAAAGCTATCCAAATATCCTCTTGCAGATATTACAAAAAGAGTGTTTCAAAACTGCTCTATCAAAAGAAAGCTTCAACACTGTTAGTTGAGGGCGCACATCACAAATAAGTTTCTGAGAATGCTGCTGTCTGCTTTTTATATGTAATCCCGTTTCCATCGAAATCCTCAAAGCTAGACAAATATCCACTTGCAGATTCCACAAAAAGAGTGTTTCAAAACTGCTCTATCAAAAGAATGCTTCAACACTGTTAGTTGAGGGCGCACATCAGAAATAAGTTTCTGAGAATGCTTCTGTCTAGTTTTCAGGGGAAGATATTTCCTTTTAAACCATAGGCCTGAAAGCGCTCCAAATGTCCACATCCAGATACTACAAAAAGAGTGTTTCAAACCTGCTCTATGAAAGGGACTGTTCAACACTGTGACTTCAATTGAAACATCCCAATGACGCTTCTGAGAATGCTTCTGTCTAGAGTTTATTTGAAGACAATCCCGTTTCCAATGAAATCCTCAAAGCTATGCAAATATCCTCTTGCAGATTTTACAAAAAGAGTGTTTCAAATCTGCTCTATCAAAAGAAAGCTTCAACACTGTTAGTTGAGGGCGCACATCACAAATAAGATTCTGAGAATGCTTCTGTCTAGTTTTCAGGGGAAGATATTTCCTTTTTCACCATAGGCCTGAAAGCGCTCCAAATGTCCACATCCAGATACTACAAAAAGAGTGTTTCAAACCTGCTCTATGAAAGGGAATGTTCAACTCTGTGACTTGAATGCAAACATCACAAAGAAGTTTCTGGGAATGCTTGCTGTCTGCTTTTTATATGTAATCCCGTTTCCAACGAAATCCTCAAAGCTAGACAAATATCCACTTGCAGATTCCACAAAAAGAGTGTTTCAAAACTGCTCTCTCAAAAGAAACGTTCAACTCTGTTAGCTGAGTAGATACATCATGAAAAAGTTTCTGACATTGCTTCTATCTAGCTTTTATTGGAAGATATTTCCTTTTTCACCGCAGTCCTGAGAGCGCTCCAAATGTCCACTTCCAGATACTACAAAAAGAGTGTTTCAAACCTGCTCTATGAAAGGGACTGTTCAACACTGTGACTATAATTGAAACATCCCAATGAAGCTTCTGAGAATGCTTCTGTCTAGAGTTTATATGAAGACAATCCCGTTTCCAACGTAATCCTCAAAGCTATCAAAATATCCTCTTGCAGATTTTACGAAAAGAGTGTTTCAAAACTGCTCTATCAAAAGAAAGCTTCAACACTGTTAGTTGAGGGCGCACATCACAAATAAGATTCTGAGAATGCTTGCTGTCTGCTTTTTATATGTAATCCCGATTCCAACGAAATCCTCAAAGCTAGACAAATATCCACTTGCTGATTCCACAAAAAGAGTGTTTCAAAACTGCTCTATCAAAAGAAAGCTTCAACACTGTTAGTTGAGGGCGCACATCACAAATAAGTTTCTGAGAATGCTTCTGTCTAGTTTTCAGGGGAAGATATTTTCTTATAAACCATAGGCCTGAAAGCGCTCCAAATGTCCACTTCCAGATACTACAAAAAGAGTGTTTCAAACCTGCTCTATGAAAGGGACTGTTCAACACTGTGACTTCAATTGAAACATCCCAATGAAGCTTCTGAGAATGCTTTTGTCTAGAGTTTATATGAAGACAATCCCGTTTCCAACGAAATCCTCAAAGCTATCCAAATATCCTCTTACAGATTTTACGAAAAGAGTGTTTCAAAACTGCTCTATCAAAAGAAAGCTTCAACACTGTTAGTTGAGGGCGCACATCACAAATAAGATTCTGAGAATGCTTCTGTCTAGTTTTCAGGAGAAGATATTTCCTTTTTCACCATAGGCCTGAAAGCGCTCTAAATGTCCACATCCAGATACTACAAAAAAAGTGTTTCAAACCTGCTCTATGAAAGGGAATGTTCAACTCTGTGACTTGAATGCAAACATCACAAAGAAGTTACTGGGAATGCTGCTGTCTGCTTTTTATACGTAATCCCGTTTCCAACGAAATCCTCAAAGCTAGACAAATATCCACTTGCAGATTCCACAAAAAGAGTGTTTCAAAACTGCTCTCTCAACGGAAGGTTCAACTCTGTTAGCTGAGTAGATACATCATGAAATAGTTTCTGACATTGCTTCTATCTAGCTTTTATTGGATGATATTTCCTTTATCACCGCATTCCTGAGATCTCTCCAAATGTCCACTTCCAGATACTACAAAAAGAGTGTTTCAAACCTGCTCTATGAAAGGGACTGTTCAACACTGTGACTTCAATTGAAACATCCCAATGAAGCTTCTGAGAATGCTTCTGTCTAGAGTTTATATGAAGACAATCCCGTTTCCAACGAAATCCTCAAAGCTATCCAAATATCCTCTTGCAGATATTACAAAAAGAGTGTTTCAAAACTGCTCTATCAAAAGAAAGGTTCAACACTGTTAGTTGAGGGCGCACATCACAAATAAGTTTACTGAGAATGCTGCTGTCTGCTTTTTATAATTAATCCCGTTTCCAACGAAATCCTCAAAGCTATCCAAATGTCCTCTTGCAGATATTACAAAAAGAGTGTTTCAAAACTGCTCTATCAAAAGAAAGCTTCAACACTGTTAGTTGAGGGCGCACATCACAAATAAGTTTCTGAGAATGCTTCTGTCTAGTTTTCAGGGGAAGATATTTCCTTTTAAACCATAGGCCTGAAAGCGCTCCAAATGTCCACATCCAGATACTACAAAAAGAGTGTTTCAAACCTGCTCTATGAAAGGGACTGTTCAACACTGTGACTTCAATTGAAACATCCCAATGACGCTTCTGAGAATGCTACTGTCTAGAGTTTATATGAAGACAATCCCGTTTCCAATGAAATCCTCAAAGCTATCCAAATATCCTCTTGCAGATTTTACAAAAAGAGTGTTTCAAAACTACTCTATCAAAAGAAATGTTTAACACTGTTAGTTGAGGGCGCACATCACAAATAAGTTTCTGAGAATGCTTCTGTCTAGTTTTCAGGGGAAGATATTTCCTTTTTCACCATAGGCCTGAAAGCGCTCCAAATGTCCACATCCAGATACTACAAAAAGAGTGTTTCAAACGTGCTCTATGAAAGGGAATGTTCAACTCTGTGACTTGAATGCAAACATCACAAAGAAGTTACTGGGAATGCTGCTGTCTGCTTTTTATATGTAATCCCGTTTCCAACGAAATCCTCAAAGCTAGACAAATATCCACTTGCAGATTCCACAAAAAGAGTGTTTCAAAACTGCTCTCTCAAAAGAAAGGTTCAACTCTGTTAGCTGAGTAGATACATCATGAAAAAGTTTCTGACATTGCTTCTATCTAGCTTTTATTGGAAGATACTTCCTTTTTCACCGTAGTCCTGAGAGCGCTCCAAATGTCCACTTCCAGATACTACAAAACGAGTGTTTCAAACCTGCTCTATGAAAGGGACTGTTCAACACTGTGACTTCAATTGAAACATCCCAATGAAGCTTCTGAGAATGCTTCTGTCTAGAGTTTATATGAAGACAATCCCGTTTCCAAAGAAATCCTCAAAGCTATCCAAATATCCTCTTGCATATTTTACAAAAAGAGTGTTTCAAAACTGCTCTATCAAAAGAAAGCTTCAACACTGTTAGTTGAGGGCGCACATCACAAATAAGATTCTGAGAATGCTGCTGTCTGCTTTTTATATGTAATCCCGTTTCCAACGAAATCCTCAAAGCTAGACAAATATCTACTTGCAGATTCCACAAAAAGAGTATTTCAAAACTGCTCTATCAAAAGAATGCTTCAACACTGTTAGTTGAGGGCGCACATCACAAATAAGTTTCTGAGAATGCTTCTGTCTAGTTTTCAGGGGAAGATATTTCCTTTTTCACCATAGGCCTGAAAGCGCTCCAAATGTCCACATCCAGATACTACAAAAAGAGTGTTTCAAACCTGCTCTATGAAAGGGACTGTTCAACACTGTGACTTCAATTGAAACATCCCAATGAAGCTTCTGAGAATGCTTTCTGTCTAGATTCTATATGAAGACAATCCCGTTTCCAACGAAATCCTCAAAGCTATCCAAATATCCTCTTGCAGATTTTACAAAAAGAGTGTTTCAAAACTGCTCTATCAACAGAAAGGTTCAACACTGTTAGTTGAGGGCGCACATCACAAATAAGTTTCTGAGAATGCTTCTGTCTAGTTTTCAGGGGAAGATATTTCCTTTTTCACCTTAGGCCTGAAAGCGCTGCAAATGTCCACATCCAGATACTACAAAAAGAGTGTTTCAAACCTGCTCTATGAAAGGGAATGTTCAACTCTGTGACTTGAATGCAAACATCACAAAGAAGTTTCTGGGAATGCTGCTGTCTGCTTTTTATATGTAATCCCGTTTCCAACGAAATCCTCAAAGCTAGACAAATATCCACTTGCAGATTCCACAAAAAGAGTGTTTCAAAACTGCTCTCTCAAAAGAAAGGTTCAACTCTGTTGGCTGAGTAGATACATCATGAAAATGTTTCTGACATTGCTTCTATGTAGGTTTTATTGGAAGATATTTCCTTTTTCACCGTAGTCCTGAGAGCGCTCCAAATGTCCACTTCCAGATACTACAAAAAGAGTGTTTCAAACCTGCTCTATGAAAGGGACTTTTCAACACTGTGACTTCAATTGAAACATCTCAATGAAGCTTCTGAGAATGCTTCTGTCTAGAGTTTATATGAAGACAATCCCGTTTCCAACGAAATCCTCAAAGCTATCCAAATATCCTCTTGCAGATATTACAAAAAGAGTGTTTCAAAACTGCTCTATCAAAAGAAAGGTTCAACACTGTTAGTTGAGGGCGCACATCACAAATAAGTTTACTGAGAATGCTGCTGTCTGCTTTTTATATGTAATCCCGTTTCCAACGAAATCCTCAAAGCTAGTACAAATATCCACTTGCAGATTCCACAAAAAGAGTGTTTCAAAACTGCTCTATCAAAAGAATGCTTCAACACTGTTAGTTGAGGGCGCACATCACAAATAAGTTTCTGAGAATGCTTCTGTCTAGTTTTCAGGGGAAGATATTTCCTTTTAAACCATAGGCCTGAAAGCGCTCCAAATGTCCACATCCAGATACTACAAAAAGAGTGTTTGAAACCTGCTCTATGAAAGGGACTGTTCAACACTGTGACTTCAATTGAAACATCCCAATGAAGCTTCTGAGAATGCTTCTGTCTAGATTTTATATGAAGACAATCCCGTTTCCAACGAAATCCTCAAAGCTATCCAAATATCCTCTTGCAGATTTTACAAAAAGAGTGTTTCAAAACTGCTCTATCAAAAGAAATGTTCAAACACTGTTAGTTGAGGGCGCACATCACAAATAAGTTTCTGAGAATGCTTCTGTCTAGTTTTCAGGGGAAGATATTTCCTTTTTCACCATAGGCCTGAAAGTGCTCCAAATGTCCACATCCAGATACTTCAAAAAGAGTGTTTCAAACCTGCTCTATGAAAGGGAATGTTCAACTCTGTGACTTGAATGCAAAGATCACAAAGAAGTTACTGGGAATGCTGCTGTCTGCTTTTTATATGTAATCCCGTTTCCAACGAAATCCTCAAAGCTAGACAAATATCCACTTGCAGATTCCACAAAAAGAGTGTTTCAAAACTGCTCTCTCAAAGGAAGGTTCAACTCTGTTAGCTGAGTAGATACATCATGAAAAAGTTTCTGACATTGCTTCTATGTAGCTTTTATTGGAAGATATTTCCTTTTTCACCGTAGTCCTGAGAGCGCTCCAAATGTCCACTTCCAGATACTACAAAAAGAGTGTTTCAAACCTGCTCTATGAAAGGGACTGTTCAACACTGTGACTTCAATTGAAACATCCCAATGAAGCTTCTGAGAATGCTTCTGTCTAGATTCTATATGAAGACAATCCCGTTTCCAACGAAATCCTCAAAGCTATCCAAATATCCTCTTGCAGATTTTACAAAAAGAGTGTTTCAAAACTGCTCTATCAAAAGAAAAGTTCCACACTGTTAGTTGAGGGCGCACATCACAAATAAGTTTGCTGAGAATGCTGCTGTCTGCTTTTTATATGTAATCCCGTTTCCAACGAAATCCTCAAAGCTATCCAAATATCCTCTTGCAGATATTACAAAAAGAGTGTTTCAAAACTGCTCTATCAAAAGAAAGGTTCAACACTGTTAGTTGAGGGCGCACATCACAAATAAGTTTCTGAGAATGCTTCTGTCTAGTTTTCAGGGGAAGATATTTCCTTTTTCACCATAGGCCTGAAAGCGCTCCAAATGTCCACATCCAGATACTACAAAAAGAGTGTTTCAAACCTGCTCTATGAAAGGGACTGTTCAACACTGTGACTTCAATTGAAACATCCCAATGAAGCTTCCGAGAATGCTTCTGTCTAGAGTTTATATGAAGACAATCCCGTTTCCAACGAAATCCTCAAAGCTATCCAAATATCCTCTTGCAGATTTTACAAAAAGAGTGTTTCAAAACTGCTCTATCAAAAGAAAGCTTCAACTCTGTTAGTTGAGGGCGCACATCACAAATAAGATTCTGAGAATGCTTCTGTCTAGTTTTCAGGGGAAGATATTTCCTTTTTCACCATAGGCCTGAAAGCGCTCCAAATGTCCACATCCAGATACTACAAAAAGAGTGTTTCAAACCTGCTCTATGAAAGGGAATGTTCAACACTGTGACTTGAATGCAAACATCACAAACAAGATTCTGGGAATGCTGCTGTCTGCTTTTTATATGTAATCCCGTTTCCAACGAAATCCTCAAAGCTAGACAAATATCCACTTGCAGATTCCACAAAAAGAGTGTTTCAAAACTGCTCTCTCAAAAGAAAGCTTCAACACTGTTAGTTGAGGGCGCACATCACAAATAAGTTTCTGAGAATGCTTCTGTTTAGTTTTCAGGGGAAGATATTTCCTTTTTCACCATAGGCCTGAAAGCGCTCCAAATGTCCACATCCAGATACTACAAAAAGAGTGTTTCAAACCTGCTCTATGAAAGGGAATGTTCAACTCTGTGACTTGAATGCAAACATCACAAAGAAGTTTGTGGGAATGCTGCTGTCTGCTTTTTATATGTAATCCCGTTTCCAACGAAATCCTCAAAGCTAGACAAATATCCACTTGCAGATTCCAAAAAAAGAGTGTTTCAAAACTGCTCTCTCAAAAGAAAGGTTCAACTCTGTTAGCTGAGTAGATACATCATGAAAAAGTTTCTGACATTGCTTCTATCTAGCTTTTATTGGAAGATATTACCTTTATCACCGTATTCCTGAGATCTCTCCAAATGTCCACTTCCAGATACTACAAAAAGAGTGTTTCAAACCTGCTCTATGAAAGGGACTGTTCAACACTGTGACTTCAATTGAAACATCCCAATGAAGCTTTCTGAGAATGCTGCTGTCTGCTTTGTATAATTAATCCCGTTTCCAACGAAATCCTCAAAGCTATCCAAATATCCTCTTGCAGATATTACAAAAAGAGTGTTTCAAAACTGCTCTATCAAAAGAAAGCTTCAACACTGTTAGTTGAGGGCGCACATCACAAATAAGTTTCTGAGAATGCTGCTGTCTGCTTTTTATATGTAATCCCGTTTCCAACGAAATCCTCAAAGCTAGACAAATATCCACTTGCAGATTCCACAAAAAGAGTGTTTCAAAACTGCTCTATCAAGAGAAAGCTTCAACACTGTTAGTTGAGGGCGCACATCACAAATAAGTTTCTGAGAATGCTTCTGTCTAGTTTTCAGGAGAAGATATTTCCTTTTTCACCGTATTCCTGAGATCTCTCCAAATGTCCACTTCCAGATACTACAAAAAGAGTGTTTCAAACCTGCTCTATGAAAGGGACTGTTCAACACTGTGACTTCAATTGAAACATCCCAATGAAGCTTCTGAGAATGCTTCTGTCTAGAGTTTATATGAAGACAATACCGTTTCCAACGAAATCCTCAAAGCTATCCAAATATCCTCTTGCAGATTTTACAAAAAGAGTGTTTCAAAACTGCTCTATCAAAAGAAAGTTTCAACACTGTTAGTTGAGGGCGCACATCACAAATAAGATTCTGAGTATGCTTCTGTCTAGTTTTCAGGGGAAGATATTTCCTTTTTCACCATAGGCCTGAAAGCGCTCCAAATGTCCACATCCAGATACTACAAAAAGAGTGTTTCAAACCTGCTCTATGAAAGGGAATGTTCAACTCTGTGACTTGAATGCAAACATCACAAAGAAGTTTCTGGGAATGCTGCTGTCTGCTTTTTATATGTAATCCCGTTTCCAACGAAATCCTCAAAGCTAGACAAATATCCACTTGCAGATTCCACAAAAATAGTGTTTCAAAACTGCTCTCTCAAAAGAAAGGTTCAACTCTTTTAGCTGAGTAGATACATCATGAAAAAGTTTCTGACATTGCTTCTATCTAGCTTTTATTGGAAGATATTTCCTTTTTCACCGCAGTCCTGAGAGCGCTCCAAATGTCCACTTCCAGATACTACAAAAAGAGTGTTTCAAACCTGCTCTATGAAAGGGACTGTTCAACACTGTGACTTCAATTGAAACATCCCAATGAAGCTTCTGAGAATGCTTCTGTCTAGAGTTTATATGAAGACAATCCCGTTTCCAATGAAATCCTCAAAGCTATCCAAATATCGTCTTGCAGATTTTACAAAAAGAGTGTTTCAAAACTGCTCTATCAAAAGAAAGCTTCAACACTGTTAGTTGAGGGCGCACATCACAAATAAGATTCTGAGAATGCTGCTGTCTGCTTTTTATATGTAATCCCGTTTCCAACGAAATCCTCAAAGCTAGACAAATATCCACTTGCAGATTCCACAAAAAGAGTGTTTCAAAACTGCTCTATCAAAAGAATGCTTCAACACTGTTAGTTGAAGGCGCACATCACAAATAAGTTTCTGAGAATGCTTCTGTCTAGTTTTCAGGGGAAGATATTTCCTTTTTCACCTTATGCCTGAAAGCGCTGCAAATGTCCACATCCAGATACTACAAAAAGAGTGTTTCAAACCTGCTCTATCAAAGGGACTGTTCAACACTGTGACTTCAATTGAAACATCCCAATGAAGCTTCTGAGAATGCTTCTGTCTAGAGTTTATATGAAGACAATCCCGTTTCCAACGAAATCCTCAAAGCTATCCAAATATCCTCTTGCAGATTTTACGAAAAGAGTGTTTCAAAACTGCTCTATCAAAAGAAAGCTTCAACACTGTTAGTTGAGGGCGCACATCACAAATAAGATTCTGAGAATGCTTCTGTCTAGTTTTCAGGAGAAGATATTTCCTTTTTCACCATAGGCCTGAAAGCGCTCCAAATGTCCACATCCAGATACTATAAAAAGAGTGTTTCAAACCTGCTCTCTGAAAGGGAATGTTCAACTCTGTGACTTGAATGCAAACATGACAAACAAGATTCTGGGAATGCTGCTGTCTGCTTTGTATATGTAATCCCGTTTCCAACGAAATCCTGAAAGCTAGACAAATATCCACCTGCAGATTCCAGAAAAAGAGTGTTTCAAAACTGCTCTCTCAAAAGAAAGGTTCAACTCTGTTAGGTGAGTAGATACATCATGAAAAATTTTCTGACATTGTTTCTATCTAGCTTTTATTGGAAGATATTTCCTTTATCACCGTATTCCTGAGATCTCTCCAAATGTCCACTTCCAGATACTACAAAAATAGTGTTTCAAACCTGCTCTATGAAAGGGACTGTTCAACACTGTGACTTCAATTGAAACATCTCAATGAAGCTTCTGAGAATGCTTCTGTCTAGAGTTTATATGAAGACAATCCCGTTTCCAACGAAATCCTCAAAGCTATCCAAATATCCTCTTGCAGATTTTACAAAAAGGGTGTTTCAAAACTGCTCTATCAAAAGAAAGGTTCAACACTGTTAGTTGAGGGCGCACATCACAAATAAGTTTCTGAGAATGCTGCTGTCTGCTTTTTATATGTAATCCCGTTTCCAACGAAATCCTCAAAGCTAGACAAATATCCACTTGCAGATTCCACAAAAAGAGTGTTTCAAAACTGCTCTATCAAAAGAAAGCTTCAACACTGTTAGTTGAGGGCGCACATCACAAATAAGTTTCTGAGAATGCTTCTGTCTAGTTTTCAGGGGAAGATATTTCCTTTTTCACCATAGGCCTGAAAGCGCTCGAAATGTCCACATCCAGATACTACAAAAAGAGTGTTTCAAACCTGCTCTATGAAAGGGACTGTTCAACACTGTGACTTCAATTGAAACATCCCAATGAAGCTTCTGAGAATGCTTCTGTCTAGAGTTTATATGAAGACAATCCCGTTTCCAACGAAATCCTCAAAGCTATCCAAATATCCTCTTGCAGATTTTACAAAAAGAGTGTTTCAAAACTGCTCTATCAAAAGAAAGCTTCAACACTGTTAGTTGAGGGCGCACATCACAAATAAGATTCTGAGAATGCTTCTGTCTAGTTTTCAGGGGAAGATATTTCCTTTTTCACCATAGGCCTGAAAGCGCTCCAAATGTCCACATCCAGATACTACAAAAAGAGTGTTTCAAACCTGCTCTATGAAAGGCAATGTTCAACTCTGTGACTTGAATGCAAACATCACAAAGAAGTTTCTGGGAATGCTGCTGTCTGCTTTTTATATGTAATCCCGTTTCCAACGAAATCCTCAAAGCTAGACAAATATCCACTTGCAGATTCCACAAAAAGAGTGTTTCAAAACTGCTCTCTCAAAGGAAGGTTCAACTCTGTTAGCTGAGTAGATACATCATGAAAAAGTTTCTGACATTGTTTCTATCTAGCTTTTATTGGAAGATATTTCCTTTTTCACCGTAGTCCTGAGAGCGCTCCAAATGTCCACGTCCAGATACTACAAAAAGAGTGTTTCAAACCTGCTCTATGAAAGGGACTGTTCAACACTGTGACTTCAATTGAAACATCCCAATGAAGCTTCTGAGAATGCTTCTGTCTAGAGTTTATATGAAGACAATCCCGTTTCCAACGAAATCCTCAAAGCTATCCAAATATCCTCTTGCAGATATTACAAAAAGAGTGTTTCAAAACTGCTCTATCAAAAGAAAGGTTCAACACTGTTAGTTGAGGGCGCACATCACAAATAAGTTTACTGAGAATGCTGCTGTCTGCTTTTTATATGTAATCCCGTTTCCAACGAAATCCTCAAAGCTAGACAAATATCCACTTGCAGATTCCACAAAAAGAGTGTTTCAAAACTGCTCTATCAAAAGAATGCTTCAACACTGTTAGTTGAAGGCGCACATCACAAATAAGTTTCTGAGAATGCTTCTATCTAGCTTTTATTGGAAGATATTTCCCTTTTCACCGTAGTCCTGAGAACGCTCAAAATGACCATTTCCAGATGCTACAAAAAGAGTGTTTCAAACCTGCTCTATGAAAGGGACTGTTCAACACTGTGACTTCAATTGAAACATCCCAATGAAGCTTCTGAGAATGCTACTGTCTAGAGTTTATATGAAGACAATCCCATTTCCACCGAAATCCTCAAAGCTATCCAAATATCCTCTTGCAGATTTTACAAAAAGAGTGTTGCAAAACTGCTCTATGAAAAGAAAGCTTCAACACTGTTAGTTGAGGGCGCACATCACAAATAAGTTTCTGAGAATGCTTCTGTCTAGTTTTCAGGGGAAGATATTTCCTTTTTCACCATAGGCCTGAGAGCGCTCCAAATGTCCACATCCAGATACTACAAAAAGAGTGTTTCAAACCTGCTCTATGAAAGGGAATGTTCAAGTCTGTGACTTGAATGCAAATATCACAAAGAAGTTTCTGGGAATGCTGCTGTCTGCTTTTTATATGTAATCCCGTTTCCATCGCAATCCTCAAAGCTAGACAAATATCCACTTGCAGATTCCACAAAAAGAGTGTTTCAAAACTGCTCTCTCAAAAGAAAGGTTCAACTCTGTTAGCTGAGTAGATACATCATGAAAAATTTTCTGACATTGCTTCTATCTAGCTTTTATTGGAAGATATTTCCTTTTTCACCGTAGTCCTGAGAACGCTCCAAATGTCCACTTCCAGATGCTACAAAAAGAGTGTTTCAAACCTGCTCTATGAAAGGGACTGTTCAACACTGTGACTTCAATTGAAACATCCCAATGAAGCTTACTGAGAATGCTACTGTCTAGGGTTAATATGAAGACAATCCCGTTTCCAACGAAATCCTCAAAGCTATCCAAATATCCTCTTGCAGATTTTACAAAAAGAGTGTTTCAAAACTGCTCTATCAAAAGAAAGGTTCAACACTGTTAGTTGAGGGCGCACATCACAAATAAGTTTCTGAGAATGCTTCTATCTAGTTTTCAGGGGAAGATATTTCCTTTTTCACCATAGGCCTGAAAGCGCTCCAAATGTCCACATCCAGATACTACAAAAAGAGTGTTTCAAACCTGCTCTATGAAAGGGAATGTTCAAGTCTGTGACTTGAATGCAAATATCACAAAGAAGTTTCTGGGAATGCTTCTGTCTAGTTTTCAGGGGAAGATATTTCCTTTTTCACCATAGGCCTGAAAGCGCTCCAAATGTCCACATCCAGATACTACAAAAAGAGTGTTTCAAACCTGCTCTATGAAAGGGACTGTTCAACACTGTGACTTCAATTGAAACATCCCAATGAAGCTTCTGAGAATGCTTCTGTCTAGAGTTTATATGAAGACAATCCCGTTTCCAACGAAATCCTCAAAGCTATCCAAATATCCTCTTGCAGATATTACAAAAAGAGTGTTTCAAAACTGCTCTATCAAAAGAAAGGTTCAACACTGTTAGTTGAGGGCGCACATCACAAATAAGTTTCTGAGAATGCTTCTGTCTAGTTTTCAGGAGAAGATATTTCCTTTTTCACCATAGGCCTGAAAGCGCTCCAAATGTCCACATCCAGATACTATAAAAAGAGTGTTTCAAACCTGCTCTCTGAAAGGGAATGTTCAACTCTGTGACTTGAATGCAAACATCACAAACAAGATTCTGGGAATGCTGCTGTCTGCTTTTTATATGTAATCCCGTTTCCAACGCAATCCTCAAAGCTAGACAAATATCCACTTACAGATTCCACAAAAAGAGTGTTTCAAAACTGCTCTCTCAAAGGAAATGTTCAACTCTGTTAGCTGAGTAGATACATCATGAAAAAGTTTCTGACATTTCTTCTATGTAGCTTTTATTGGAAGATATTTCCTTTTTCACCATAGTCCTGAGAGCGCTCCAAATGTCCACTTCCAGATACTACAAAAAGAGTGTTTCAAACCTGTTCTATGAAAGGAACTGTTCACCACTGTGACTTCAATTGAAACGTCCCAATGAAGCTTCTGAGAATGCTGCTGTCTGCTTTGTATAATTAATCCCGTTTCCAACGAAATCCTCAAAGCTATCCAAATATCCTCTTGCAGATATTACAAAAAGAGTGTTTCAAAACTGCTCTATCAAAAGAAAGCTTCAACACTGTTAGTTGAGGGCGCACATCACAAATAAGTTTCTGAGAATGCTGCTGTCTGCTTTTTATAATTAATCCCGTTTCCAACGAAATCCTCAAAGCTATCCAAATATCCTCTTGCAGATATTACAAAAAGAGTGTTTCAAAACTGCTCTATCAAAAGAAAGGTTCAACACTGTTAGTTGAGGGCGCACATCACAAATAAGTTTCTGAGAATGCTTCTGTCTAGTTTTCAGGGGAAGATATTTCCTTTTTCACCATAGGCCTGAAAGCGCTCCAAATGTCCACATCCAGATACTACAAAAAGAGTGTTTCAAACCTGCTCTATGAAAGGGAATGTTCAACTCTGTGACGTGAATGCAAACATCACAATGAAGTTTCTGGGAATGCTGCTGTCTGCTTTTTATATGTACTCCCGTTTCCAACGAAATCCTCAAAGCTAGACAAATATCCACTTGCAGATTCCACAAAAAGAGTGTTTCAAAACTGCTCTCTGAAAGGAAAGGTTCAACTCTGTTAGCTGAGTAGATACATCATGAAAAAGTTTCTGACATTGCTTCTATCTAGCTTTTATTGGAAGATATTTCCTTTATCACCGTATTCCTGAGATCTCTCCAAATGTCCACTTCCAGATACTACAAAAAGAGTGTTTCAAACCTGCTCTATGAAAGGGACTGTTCAACACTGTGACTTCAATTGAAACATCCCAATGAAGCTTCTGAGAATGCTGCTGTCTGCTTTGTATAATTAATCCCGTTTCCAACGAAATCCTCAAAGCTATCCAAATATCCTCTTGCAGATATTACAAAAAGAGTGTTTCAAAACTGCTCTATCAAAAGAAAGCTTCAACACTGTTAGTTGAGGGCGCACATCACAAATAAGTTTCTGAGAATGCTGCTGTCTGCTTTTTATAATTAATCCCGTTTCCAACGAAATCCTCAAAGCTATCCAAATATCCTCTTGCAGATATTACAAAAAGAGTGTTTCAAAACTGCTCTATCAAAAGAAAGCTCCAACACTGTTAGTTGAGGGCGCACATCACAAATAAGTTTCTGAGAATGCTTCTGTCTAGTTTTCAGGGGAAGATACTTCCTTTTTCACCATAGGCCTGAAAGCGCTCCAAATGTCCACATCCAGATACTACAAAAAGAGTGTTTCAAACCTGCTCTATGAAAGGGAATGTTCAACTCTGTGACGTGAATGCAAACATCACAAAGAAGTTTCTGGGAATGCTTCTGTCTAGAGTTTATATGAGGACAATCCCGTTTCCAAAGAAATCCTCAAAGCTATCCAAATATAATCTTGCAGATTTTACAAAAAGAGTGTTTCAAAACTGCTCTATCAAAAGAAAGCTTCAACACTGTTAGTTGAGGGCGCACATCACAAATAAGATTCTGAGAATGCTTCTGTCTAGTTTTAAGGGGAAGATATTTCCTTTTTCACCATAGGCCTGAAAGCGCTCCAAATGTCCACATACAGATACTACAAAAAGAGTGTTTCAAACCTGCTCTATGGAAGGGCATGTTTAACTCTGTGACTTGAATGCAAACTTCACAAAGAAATTTCTGGGAATGCTGCTGTCTGCTTTTTATATGTAATCCCGTTTCCAACGAAATCCTCAAAGCTAGAAAAATATCCGCTTGCAGATTCCACAAAAAGAGTGTTTCAAAACTGCTCTCTCAAAAGAAAGGTTCAACTCTGTTAGCTGAGTAGATACATCATGAAAAAGTTTCTGACATTGCTTCTATCTAGCTTTTATTGGAAGATATTTCCTTTTTCACCGCAGTCCTGTGAGCGCTCCAAATGTCCACTTCCAGATACTACAAAAAGAGTGTTTCAAACCTGCTCTATGAAAGGGACTGTTCAACACTGTGACTTCAATTGAAACATCCCAATGAAGCTTCTGAGAATGCTTATGTCTAGAGTTTATATGAAGACAATCCCGTTTCCAACGAAATCCTGAAAGCTATCCAAATATCCTCTTGCAGATATTACAAAAAGAGTGTTTCAAAACTGCTCTATCAAAAGAAAGCTTCAACACTGTTAGTTGAGGGCGCCCATCACAAATAAGTTTCGGAGAATGCTTAGCTGTCTGCTTTTTATATGTAATCCCGTTTCCAACGAAATCCTCAAAGCTAGACAAATATCCACTTGCAGATTCCACAAAAAGAGTGTTTCAAAACTGCTCTATCAAAAGAATGCTTCAACACTGTTAGTTGAAGGCGCACATCACAAATAAGTTTCTGAGAATGCTTCTGTCTAGTTTTCAGGGGAAGATATTTCCTTTTTCACCATAGGCCTGAAAGCGCTCCAAATGTCCACATCCAGATACTACAAAAAGAGTGTTTCAAACCTGCTCTATGAAAGGGACTGTTCAACACTGTGACTTCAATTGAAACATCCCAATGAAGCATCTGAGAATGCTTCTGTCTAGAGTTTATATGAAGACAATCCCGTTTCCAAAGAAATCCTCAAAGCTATCCAAATATCCTCTAGCAGATTTTACAAAAAGAGTGTTTCAAAACTGCTCTATCAAAAGAAAGCTTCAACACTGTTAGTTGAGGGCGCACATCACAAATAAAATTCTGAGAATGCTTCTGTCTAGTTTTCAGAGGAAGATATTTCCTTTTTCACCATAGGCCTGAAAGCGCTCCAAATGTCCACATCCAGATACTACAAAAAGAGTGTTTCAAACCTGCTCTATGAAAGGGAATGTTCAACTCTGTGACTTGAATGCAAACATCGCAAAGAAGTTTCTGGGAATGCTGCTGTCTGCTTTTTATATGTAATCCCGTTTCCAACGCAATCCTCAAAGCTAGACAAATATCCACTTGCAGATTCCACAAAAAGAGTGTTTCAAAACTGCTCTCGCAAAAGAAAGGTTCAACTCTGTTAGCTGAGTAGATACATCATGAAAAATTTTCTGACATTGCTTCTATGTAGCTTTTATTGGAAGATATTTCCTTTTTCACCATAGTCCTGGGAGCGCTCCAAATGTCCACTTCCAGATACTACAAAAAGAGTGTTTCAAACCTGTTCTATGAAAGGAACTGTTCAACACTGTGACTTCAATTGAAACATCCCAATGAAGCTTCTGAGAATGCTGCTGTCTGCTTTGTATAATTAATCCCGTTTCCAACGAAATCCTCAAAGCTATCCAAATATCCTCTTGCAGATATTACAAAAAGAGTGTTTCAAAACTGCTCTATCAAAAGAAAGCTTCAACACTGTTAGTTGAGGGCGCACATCACAAATAAGTTTCTGAGAATGCTGCTGTCTTCTTTTTATATGTAATCCCGTTTCCAACGAAATCCTCAAAGCTAGACAAATATCCACTTGCAGATTCCACAAAAAGAGTGTTTCAAAACTGCTCTATCAAAAGAAAGCTTCAACACTGTTAGTTGATTGCGCACATCACAAATAAGTTTCTGAGAATGCTTCTGTCTAGTTTTCAGAGGAAGATATTTCCTTTTTCACCATAGGCCTGAAAGCGCTCCAAATGTCCACATCCAGATACTACAAAAAGAGTGTTTCAAAGCTGCTCTATGAAAGGGAATGTTCAACTCTGTCACTTGAATGGAAACATCACAAACAAGTTACTGGGAATGCTTCTGTCTAGAGTTTATATGAAGACAATCCCGTTTCCAACGAAATCCTCAAAGCTATCAAAATATCCTCTTGCAGATTTTACGAAAAGAGTGTTTCAAAACTGCTCTATCAAAAGAAAGCTTCAACACTGTTAGTTGAGGGCGCACATCGCAAATAAGATTCTGAGAATGCTTCTGTCTAGTTTTCAGGGGAAGATATTTCCTTTTTCACCATAGGCCTGAAAGCGCTCCAAATGTCCACATACAGATACTACAAAAAGAGTGTTTCAAACCTGCTCTATGAAAGGGAATGTTCAACTCTGTGACTTGAATGCAAACTTCACAAAGAAGTTTCTGGGAATGCTGCTGTCTGCTTTTTATATGTAATCCCGTTTCCAACGAAATCCTCAAAGCTAGACAAATATCCACTTGCAGATTCCACAAAAAGAGTGTTTCAAAACTGCTCTCTCAAAAGAAAGGTTCAACTCTGTTAGCTGAGTAGATACATCATGAAAAAGTTTCTGACATTGCTTCTATCTAGCTTTTATTGGAAGATATTTCCTTTTTCACCGCAGTCCTGAGAGCGCTCCAAATGTCCACTTCCAGATACTACAAAAAGCGTGTTTCAAACCTGCTCTATGAAAGGGACTGTTCAACACTGTGACTTCAATTGAAACATCCCAATGAAGCTTCTGAGAATGCTGCTGTCTGCTTTGTATAATTAATCCCGTTTCCAACGAAATCCTCAAAGCTATCCAAATATCCTCTTGCAGATATTACAAAAAGAGTGTTTCAAAACTGCTCTATCAAAAGAAAGCTTCAACACTGTTAGTTGAGGGCGCACATCACAAATAAGTTTCTGAGAATGCTGCTGTCTGCTTTTTATATGTAATCCCGTTTCCAACGAAATCCTCAAAGCTAGACAAATATCCACTTGCAGATTCCACAAAAAGAGTGTTTCAAAACTGCTCTATCAAAAGAAAGCTTCAACACTGTTAGTTGAGGGCGCACATCACAAATAAGTTTCTGAGAATGCTTCTGTCTAGTTTTCAGGGGAAGATATTTCCTTTTAAACCATAGGCCTGAAAGCGCTCCAAATGTCCACATCCAGATACTACAAAAAGAGTGTTTCAAACCTGCTCTATGAAAGGGACTGTTCAACACTGCAACTTCAATTGAAACATCCCAATGAAGCTTCTGAGAATGCTTCTGTCTAGAGTTTATATGAAGACAATCCCGTTTCCAACGAAATCCTCAAAGGTATCCAAATATCCTCTTGCAGATATTACAAAAAGAGTGTTTCAAAACTGCTCTATCAAAAGAAAGCTTCAACACTGTTAGTTGAGGGCGCCCATCGCAAATAAGTTTCTGAGAATGCTTCTGTCTAGTTTTCAGGGGAAGATATTTCCTTTTTCACCGTAGGCCTGAAAGCGCTGCAAATGTCCACATCCAGATACTACAAAAAGAGTGTTTCAAACCTGCTCTATGAAAGGGAATGTTCAACTCTGTGACTTGAATGCAAACATCACAAAGAAGTTACTGGGAATGCTGCTGTATGCTTTTTATATGTAATCCCGTTTCCAACGAAATCCTCAAAGCTAGACAAATATCCACTTGCAGATTCAACAAAAAGAGTGTTTCAAAACTGCTCTCTCAAAGGAAAGGTTCAACTCTGTTAGCTGAGTAGATACATCATGAAAAAGTTTCTGACATTGCTTCTATCTAGCTTTTATTGGAAGATATTTCCTTTATCACCGTATTCCTGAGATCTCTCCAAATGTCCACTTCCAGATACTACAAAAAGAGTGTTTCAAACCTGCTCTATCAAAGGGACTGTTCAACACTGTGACTTCAATTGAAACATCCCAATGAAGCTTCTGAGAATGCTGCTGTCTGCTTTGTATAATTAATCCCGTTTCCAACGAAATCCTCAAAGCTATCCAAATATCCTCTTGCAGATATTACAAAAAGAGTGTTTCAAAACTGCTCTATCAAAAGAAAGCTTCAACACTGTTAGTTGAGGGCGCACATCACAAATAAGTTTCTGAGAATGCTGCTGTCTGCTTTTTATATGTAATCCCGTTTCCAACGAAATCCTCAAAGCTAGACAAACATCCACTTGCAGATTCCACAAAAAGAGTGTTTCAAAACTGCTCTATCAAAAGAATGCTTCAACACTGTTAGTTGAGGGCGCACATCACAAATAAGTTTCTGAGAATGCTTCTGTCTAGTTTTCAGGGGAAGATATTTTCTTATAAACCATAGGCCTGAAAGCGCTCCAAATGTCCACTTCCAGATACTACAAAAAGAGTGTTTCAAACCTGCTCTATGAAAGGGACTGTTCAACACTGTGACTTCAATTGAAACATCCCAATGAAGCTTCTGAGAATGCTTCTGTCTAGAGTTTATATGAAGAAAATCCCGTTTCCAACGAAATCCTCAAAGCTATCCAAATATCCTCTTGCAGATTTTACAAAAAGATTGTTTCAAAACTGCTCTATCAAAAGAAAGCTTCAACACTGTTAGTTGAGGGCGCACATCACAAATAAGATTCTGAGAATGCTTCTGTCTAGTTTTCAGGGGAAGATATTTCCTTTTTCACCATAGGCCTGAAAGCGCTCCAAATGTCCACATCCAGATACTACAAAAAGAGTGTTTCAAACCTGCTCTATGAAAGGGAATGTTCAACTCTGTGACTTGAATGCAAACATCACAAAGAAGTTACTGGGAATGCTGCTGTCTGCTTTTTATATGTAATCCCGTTTCCAACGAAATCCTCAAATCTAGACAAATTTCCACTTGCAGATTCCACAAAAAGTGTGTTTCAAAACTGCTCTCTCAAAAGAAAGGTTCAACTCTGTTAGCTGAGTAGATACATCATGAAAATGTTTCTGACATTGCTTCTATGTAGCTTTTATTGGAAGATATTTCCTTTTTCACCGCAGTCCTGAGAGCGCTCCAAATGTCCACTTCCAGATACTACAAAAAGAGTGTTTAAAACCTGCTCTATGAAAGGGACTGTTCAACACTGTGACTTCAATTGAAACATCCCAATGAAGCTTCTGAGAATGCTTCTGTCTAGATTCTATATGAAGACAATCCCGTTTCCAACGAAATCCTCAAAGCTATCCAAATATCCTCTTGCAGATTTTACAAAAAGAGTGTTTCAAAACTGCTCTATCAAAAGAAAAGTTCCACACTGTTAGTTGAGGGCGCACATCACAAATAAGTTTGCTGAGAATGCTGCTGTCTGCTTTTTATAATTAATCCCGTTTCCAACGAAATCCTCAAAGCTATCCAAATATCCTCTTGCAGATATTACAAAAAGAGTGTTTCAAAACTGCTCTATCAAAAGAAAGCTTCAACACTGTTAGTTGAGGGCGCACATCACAAATAAGTTTCTGAGAATGCTTCTGTCTAGTTTTCAGGGGAAGATATTTCCTTTTTCACCTTATGCCTGAAAGCGCTGCAAATGTCCACATCCAGATACTACAAAAAGAGTGTTTCAAACCTGCTCTATCAAAGGGACTGTTCAACACTGTGACTTCAATTGAAACATCCCAATGAAGCTTCTGAGAATGCTTCTGTCTAGAGTTTATATGAAGACAATCCCGTTTCCAACGAAATCCTCAAACCTATCCAAATATCCTCTTGCAGATTTTACAAAAAGAGTGTTTCAAAACTGCTCTATCAAAAGAAAAGTTCAACACTTTTAGTTGAGGGCGCACATCACAAATAAGTTTCTGAGAATGCTTCTGTCTAGTTTTCAGGGGAAGATATTTCCTTTTTCACCATAGGCCTGAAAGCGCTCCAAATGTCCACATCCAGATACTACAAAAAGAGTGTTTCAAACCTGCTCTATGAAAGGGAATGTTCAACTCTGTGACTTGAATGCAAACATCACAAAGAAGTTTCTCGGAATGCTGCTGTCTGCTTTTTATATGTAATCCCGTTTCCAACGAAATCCTCAAAGCTAGACAAATATCCACTTGCAGATTCCACAAAAAGAGTGTTTCAAAACTGCTCTCTCAAAAGAAAGGTTCAACTCTGTTAGCTGAGTGGATACATCATGAAAAAGTTTCTGACATTGCTTCTATCTAGCTTTTATTGGAAGATATTTCCTTTTTCACCGTAGTCCTGAGAGCGCTCCAAATGTCCACTTCCAGATACTACAAAAAGAGTGTTTCAAACCTGCTCTATGAAAGGGACTGTTCAACACTGTGACTTCAATTGAAACATCCCAATGAAGCTTCTGAGAATGCTTCTGTCTAGATTCTATATGAAGACAATCCCGTTTCCAACGAAATCCTCAAAGCTATCCAAATATCCTCTTGCAGATTTTACAAAAAGAGTGTTTCAAAACTGCTCTATCAAAAGAAAAGTTCCACACTGTTAGTTGAGGGCGCACATCACAAATAAGTTTGCTGAGAATGCTGCTGTCTGCTTTTTATATGTAATCCCGTTTCCAACGAAATCCTCAAAGCTATCCAAATATCCTCTTGCAGATTTTACGAAAAGAGTGTTTCAAAACTGCTCTATCAAAAGAAAGCTTCAACACTGTTAGTTGAGGGCGCACATCACAAATAAGATTCTGAGAATGCTTCTGTCTAGTTTTCAGGGGAAGATATTTCCTTTTAAACCATAGGCCTGAAAGCGCTCCAAATGTCCACATCCAGATACTACAAAAAGAGTGTTTCAAACCTGCTCTATGAAAGGGACTGTTCAATACTGTGACTTCAATTGAAACATCCCAATGAAGCTTCTGAGAATGCTTCTGTCTAGAGTTTATATGAAGACAATCCCGTTTCCAACGAAATCCTCAAAGCTATCCAAATGTCCTCTTGCAGATTTTACGAAAAGAGTGTTTCAAAACTGCTCTATCAAAAGAAAGCTTCAACACTGTTAGTTGAGGGTGCACATCACAAATAAGATTCTGAGAATGCTTCTGTCTAGATTTCAGGAGAAGATATTTCCTTTTTCACCATAGGCCTGAAAGCGCTCCAAATGTCCACATCCAGATACTATAAAAAGAGTGTTTCAAACCTGCTCTCTGAAAGGGAATGTTCAACTCTGTCACTTGAATGCAAACATCACAAACAAGATTCTGGGAATGCTGCTGTCTGCTTTTTATATGTAATCCCGTTTCCTACGAAATCATCAAAGCTAGACAAATATCCACTTGCAGATTCCACAAAAAGAGTGTTTCAAAACGGCTCTCTCAAAACAAAGGTTCAACTCTGTTAGCTGAGTAGATACATCATGAAAAAGTTTCTGACATTGCTTCTATCTAGCTTTTATTGGAAGATATTTCCTTTTTCACCGCAGTCCTGAGAGCGCTCCAAATGTCCACTTCCAGATACTACAAAAAGAGTGTTTCAAACCTGCTCTATGAAAGGGACTGTTCAACACTGTGACTTCAATTGAAACATCCCAATGAAGCTTCTGAGAATGCTGCTGTCTGCTTTGTATAATTAATCCCGTTTCCAACGAAATCCTCAAAGCTATCCAAATATCCTCTTGCAGATATTACAAAAAGAGTGTTTCAAAACTGCTCTATCAAAAGAAAGCTTCAACACTGTTAGTTGAGGGCGCACATCACAAATAAGTTTCTGAGAATGCTGCTGTCTGCTTTTTATATGTAATCCCGTTTCCAACGAAATCCTCAAAGCTAGACAAATATCCATCCACTTGCAGATTCCACAAAAAGAGTGTTTCAAAACTGCTCTATCAAAAGAATGCTTCAACACTGTTAGTTGAAGGCGCACATCACAAATAAGTTTCTGAGAATGCTTCTGTCTAGTTTTCAGGGGAAGATATTTCCTTTTAAACCATAGGCCTGAAAGCGCTCCAAATGTCCACATCCAGATACTACAAAAAGAGTGTTTCAAACCTGCTCTATGAAAGGGACTGTTCAACACTGTGACTTCAATTGAAACATCCCAATGACGCTTCTGAGAATGCTTCTGTCTAGAGTTTATATGAAGACAGTCCCGTTTCCAAAGAAATCCTCAAAGCTATCCAAATATCCTCTTGCAGATATTACAAAAAGAGTGTTTCAAATCTGCTCTATCAAAAGAAAGGTTCAACACTGTTAGTTGAGGGCGCACATCACAAATAAGTTTCTGAGAATGCTTCTGTCTAGTTTTCAGGAGAAGATATTTCCTTTTTCACCATAGGCCTGAAAGCGCTCCAAATGTCCACATCCAGATACTATAAAAAGAGTGTTTCAAACCTGCTCTCTGAAAGGGAATGTTCAACTCTGACTTGAATGCAAACATCACAAACAAGATTCTGGGAATGCTGCTGTCTGCTTTTTATATGTAATCCCGTTTCCAACGAAATCCTCAAAGCTAGACAAATATCCACTTGCAGATTCCACAAAAAGAGTGTTTCAAAACTGCTCTCTCAAAGGAAAGGTTCAACTCTGTTAGCTGAGTAGATACATCATGAAAAAGTTTCTGACATTGCTTCTATGTAGCTTTTATTGGAAGATATTTCCTTTTTCACCGTAGTCCTGAGAGCGCTCCAAATATCCACTTCCAGATACTACAAAAAGAGTGTTTGAAACCTGTTCTATGAAAGGAACTGTTCAACACTGTGACTTCAATTGAAACTTCCCAATGAAGCTTCTGAGAATGCTTTCTGTCTAGAGTTTATATGAAGACAATCCCGTTTCCAACGAAATCCTCAAAGCTATCCAAATATCCTCTTGCAGATATTACAAAAAGAGTGTTTCAAAACTGCTCTATCAAAAGAAAGGTTCAACACTGTTAGTTGAGGGCGCACATCACAAATAAGTTTACTGAGAATGCTGCTGTCTGCTTTTTATATGTAATCCCGTTTCCAACGAAATCCTCAAAGCTAGACAAATATCCACTTGCAGATTCCACAAAAAGAGTGTTTCAAAACTGCTCTATCAAAAGAAAGCTTCAACACTGTTAGTTGAGGGGGCACATCACAAATAAGTTTCTGAGAATGCTTCTGTCTAGTTTTCAGGGGAAGATATTTCCTTTTTCACCATAGGCCTGAAAGCGCTCCAAATGTCCACATCCAGATACTACAAAAAGAGTGTTTCAAACCTGCTCTATGAAAGGGACTGTTCAACACTGTGACTTCAATTGAAACATCCCAATGAAGCTTCTGAGAATGCTTCTGCCTAGAGTTTATATGAAGACAATCCCGTTTCCAACGAAATCCTCAAAGCTATCCAAATATCCTCTTGCAGATATTACAAAAAGAGTGTTTCAAAACTGCTCTATCAAAAGAAAGCTTCAACACTGTTAGTTGAGGGCGCACATCACAAATAAGTTTCTGAGAATGCTTCTGTCTAGTTTTCAGGGGAAGATATTTCCTTTTTCACCTTAAGCCTGAAAGCGCTGCAAATGTCCACATCCAGATACTACAAAAAGAGTGTTTCAAACCTGCTCTATGAAAGGGAATGTTCAACTCTGTGACTTTAATGCAAACATCACAAAGAAGTTTCTGGGAATCCTGCTGTCTGCTTTTCATATGTAATCCCGTTTCCAACGAAATCCTCAAAGCTAGACAAATATCCACTTGCAGATTCCACAAAAAGAGTGTTTCAAAACTGCTCTCTCAAAAGAAAGGTTCAACTCTGCTAGCTTAGTAGATACATCATGAAAAAGTTTCTGACATTGCTTCTATGTAGCTTTTATTGGAAGATATTTCCTTTTTCACCATAGTCCTGAGAGCGCTCCAAATGTCCACTTCCAGATACTACAAAAAGAGTGTTTCAAACCTGTTCTATGAAAGGAACTGTTCAACACTGTGACTTCAATTGAAACATCCCAATGAAGCTTCTGAGAATGCTTCTTTCTAGAGTTTATATGAAGACAATCCCGTTTCCAACGAAATCCTCAAAGCTATCCAAATATTCTCTTGCAGATATTACAAAAAGAGTGTTTCAAAACTGCTCTATCAAAATAAAGCTTCAACACTGTTAGTTGAGGGCGCACATCACAAATAAGTTTCTGAGAATGCTGCTGTCTGCTTTTTATATGTAATCCCGTTTCCAACGAAATCCTCAAAGCTAGACAAATATCCACTTGCAGATTCCACAAAAAGAGTGTTTCAAAACTGCTCTATCAAAAGAAAGCTTCAACACTGTTAGTTGAGGGCGCACATCACAAATAAGTTTCTGAGAATGCTTCTGTCTAGTTTTCAGGGGAAGATATTTCCTTTTTCACCATAGGCCTGAAAGCGCTGCAAATGTCCACATCCAGATACTACAAAAAGAGTGTTTCAAACCTGCTCTATGAAAGGGACTGTTCAACACTGTGACTTCAATTGAAACATCCCAATGAAGCTTCTGAGAATGCTTCTGTCTAGAGTTTATATGAAGACAATCCCGTTTCCAACGAAATCCTCAAAGCTATCCAAATATCCTCTTGCAGATTTTACAAAAAGAGTGTTTCAAAACTGCTCTATCAAAAGAAAGCTTCAACACTGTTAGTTGAGGGCGCACATCACAAATAAGATTCTGAGAATGCTTCTGTCTAGTTTTCAGGGGAAGATATTTCCTTTTTCACCATAGGGCTGAAAGCGCTCCAAATGTCCACATCCAGATACTACAAAAAGAGTGTTTCAAACCTGCTCTATGAAAGGGAATGTTCAACTCTGTGACTTGAATGCAAACATCACAAAGAAGTTTCTGGGAATGCTGCTGTCTGCTTTTTATATGTAATCCCGTTTCCAACGAAATCCTCAAAGCTAGACAAATATCCACTTGCAGATTCCACAAAAAGAGTGTTTCAAAACTGCTCTCTCAAAGGAAAGGTTCAACTCTGTTAGCTGAGTAGATACATCATGAAAAAGTTTCTGACATTGCTTCTATCTAGCTTTTATTGGAAGATATTTCCTTTATCACCGTATTCCTGAGATCTCTCCAAATGTCCACTTCCAGATACTACAAAGGAGTGTTTCAAACCTGCTCTATGAAAGGGACTGTTCAACACTGTGACTTCAATTGAAACATCCCAATGAAGCTTCTGAGAATGCTGCTGTCTGCTTTGTATAATTAATCCCGTTTCCAACGAAATCCTCAAAGCTATCCAAATATCCTCTTGCAGATATTACAAAAAGAGTGTTTCAAAACTGCTCTATCAAAAGAAAGCTTCAACACTGTTAGTTGAGGGCGCACATCACAAATAAGTTTCTGAGAATGCTGCTGTCTGCTTTTTATATGTAATCCCGTTTCCAACGAAATCCTCAAAGCTAGACAAATATCCACTTGCAGATTCCACAAAAAGAGTGTTTCAAAACTGCTCTATCAAAAGAAAGCTTCAACACTGTTAGTTGAGGGCGCACATCACAAATAAGTTTCTGAGAATGCTTCTGTCTAGTTTTCAAGGGAAGATATTTCCTTTTAAACCATAGGCCTGAAAGCGCTCCAAATGTCCACATCCAGATACTACAAAAAGAGTGTTTCAAACCTGCTCTATGAAAGGGACTGTTCAACACTGTGACTTCAATTGAAACATCCCAATGACGCTTCTGAGAATGCTTCTGTCTAGAGTTTACATGAAGACAATCCCGTTTCCAACGAAATCCTCAAAGCTATCCAAATATCCTCTTGCAGATATTACAAAAAGAGTGTTTCAAAACTGCTCTATCAAAAGAAAGGTTAAACACTGTTAGTTGAGGGCGCACATCACAAATAAGTTTCTGAGAATGCTCTGTCTAGTTTTCAGGGGAAGATATTTCCTTTTTCACCTTAGGCCTGAAAGCGCTGCAAATGTCCACATCCAGATACTACAAAAAGAGTGTTTCAAACCTGCTCCTATGAAAGGGAATGTTCAACTCCTGTGACTTGAATGCAAACATCAAAAAGAAGTTTCCTGGGAATGCTGGCTGTCTGCTTTTTATATGTAATCCCGTTTCCAACGAAATCCTTAAAGCTAGACAAATATCCACTTGCAGATTCCACAAAAAGAGTGTTACAAAACTGCTCTCTCAAAAGAAAGGTTCAACTCTGTTAGCTGAGTAGACACATCATGAAAAAGTTTCTGACATTGCTTCTATGTAGCTTTTATTGGAAGATATTTCCTTTTTCACCACAGTCCTGAGAGCGCTCCAAATGTCCACTTCCAGATACTACAAAAAGAGTGTTTCAAACCTGTTCTATGAAAGGAACTGTTCAACACTGTGACTTCAATTGAAACATCCCAATGAAGCTTCCTGAGAATGCTTCTGTCTAGAGTTTATATGAAGACAATCCCGTTTCCAACGAAATCCTCAAAGCTATCCAAATATCCTCTTGCAGATATTACAAAAAGAGTGTTTCAAAACTGCTCTATCAAAAGAAAGGTTCAACACTGTTAGTTGAGGGCGCACATCACAAATAAGTTTACTGAGAATGCTGCTGTCTGCTTTTTATATGTAATCCCGTTTCCAACGAAATCCTCAAAGCTAGACAAATATCCACTTACAGATTCCACAAAAAGAGTGTTTCAAAACTGCTCTATCAAAAGAATGCTTCAACACTGTTAGTTGAGGGCGCACATCAGAAATAAGTTTCTGAGAATGCTTCTGTCTAGTTTTCAGGGGAAGATATTTCCTTTATCACCGTAGTCCTGAGAGCGCTCCAAATGTCCACTTACAGATACTACAAAAAGAGTGTTTCAAACCTGCTCTATGAAAGGGACTGTTCAACACTGTGACTTCAATTGAAACATCCCAATGAAGCTTCTGAGAATGCTTCTGTCTAGAGTTTATATGAAGACAATCCCGTTTCCAACGAAATCCTCAAAGCTATCCAAATATCCTCTTGCAGATTTTACAAAAAGAGTGTTTCAAAACTGCTCTATCAAAAGAAAGCTTCAACTCTGTTAGTTGAGGGCGCACATCACAAATAAGATTCTGAGAATGCTTCTGTCTAGTTCTCAGGGGAAGTATATTTCCTTTTTCACCATAGGCCTGAAAGCGCTCCAAATGTCCACATCCAGATACTACAAAAAGAGTGTTTCAAACCTGCTCTATGAAAGGGAATGTTCAACTCTGTGACTTGAATGCAAACATCACAAAGAAGATTCTGGGAATGCTGCTGTCTGCTTCTTATATGTAATCCCGTTTCCAACGAAATCCTCAAAGCTAGACAAATATCCACTTGCAGATTCCACAAAAAGAGTGTTTCAAAACTGCTCTCTCAAAAGAAAGGTTCAACTCTGTTAGCTGAGTAGACACATCATGAAAAAGTTTCTGACATTGCTTCTATGTAGCTTTTATTGGAAGATATTTCCTTTTTCACCATAGTCCTGAGAACGCTCCAAATGTCCACTTCCAGATACTACAAAAAGAGTGTTTCAAACCTGCTCTATGAAAGGGACTGTTCAACACTGTGACTTCAATTGAAACATCCCAATGAAGCTTCTGAGAATGCTTCTGTCTAGAGTTTATATGAAGACAATCCCGTTTCCAACGAAATCCTCAAAGCTATCCAAATATCCTCTTGCAGATATTACAAAAAGAGTGTTTCAAAACTGCTCTATCAAAAGAAAGGTTCAACACTGTTAGTTGAGGGCGCACATCACAAATAAGTTTACTGAGAATGCTGCTGTCTGCTTTTTATATGTAATCCCGTTTCCAACGAAATCCTCAAAGCTAGACAAATATCCACTTGCAGATTCCACAAAAAGAGTGTTTCAAAACTGCTCTATCAAAAGAAAGCTTCAACACTGTTAGTTGAGGGCGCACATCACAAATAAGTTTCTGAGAATGCTTCTGTCTAGTTTTCAGGGGAAGATATTTCCTTTTAAACCATAGGCCTGAAAGCGCTCCAAATGTCCACATCCAGATACTACAAAAAGAGTGTTTCAAACCTGCTCTATGAAAGGGACTGTTCAACACTGTGACTTCAATTGAAACATCCCAATGACGCTTCTGAGAATGTTTCTGTCTAGATTTTATATGAAGACAATCCCGTTTCCAACGAAATCGTCAAAGCTATGCAAATATCGTCTTGCAGATTTTACAAAAAGTGTGTTTCAAAACTGCTCTATCAAAAGAAAGGTTCAACACTGTTAGTTGAGGGCGCACATCACAAATAAGTTTCTGAGAATGCTTCTGTCTAGTTTTCAGGGGAAGATATTTCCTTTTTCACCATAGGCCTGAAAGCGCTCCAAATGTCCACATCCAGATACTACAAAAAGAGTGTTTCAAACATGCTCTATGAAAGGGAATGTTCAAGTCCGTGACTTGAATGCAAATATCACAAAGAAGTTTCTGGGAATGCTGCTGTCTGCTTTTTATATGTAATCCCGTTTCCAACGAAATCCTCAAAGCTAGACAAATATCCACTTGCAGATTCCACAAAAAGAGTGTTTCAAAACTGCTCTCTCAAAGGAAAGGTTCAACTCTGTTAGCTGAGTAGATACATCATGAAAAAGTTTCTGACATTGCTTCTATGTAGCTTTTATTGGAAGATATTTCCTTTTTCACCATAGTCCTGAGAGCGCTCCAAATGTCCACTTCCAGATACTACAAAAAGAGTGTTTCAAACCTGCTCTATGAAAGGGACTGTTCAACACTGTGACTTCAATTGAAACATCCCAATGAAGCTTCTGAGAATGCTTCTGTCTAGAGTTTATATGAAGACAATCCCGTTTCCAACGAAATCCTCAAAGCTATCCAAATATCCTCTTGCAGATATTACAAAAAGAGTGTTTCAAAACTGCTCTATCAAAAGAAAGGTTCAACACTGTTAGTTGAGGGCGCACATCACAAATAAGTTTACTGAGAATGCTGCTGTCTGCTTTTTATATGTAATCCCGTTTCCAACGAAATCCTCAAATCTATCCAAATATCCTCTTGCAGATATTACAAAAAGAGTGTTTCAAAACTGCTCTATCAAAAGAAAGGTTCAACACTGTTAGTTGAGGGCGCACATCACAAATAAGTTTCTGAGAATGCTTCTGTCTAGTTTTCAGGGGAAGATATTTCCTTTTTCACCATAGGCCTGAAAGCGCTCCAAATGTCCACATCCAGATACTACAAAAAGAGTGTTTCAAACCTGCTCTATGAAAGGGACTGTTCAACACTGTGACTTCAATTGAAACATCCCAATGAAGCTTCTGAGAATGCTTCTGTCTAGAGTTTATATGAAGACAATCCCGTTTCCACCGAAATCCTCAAAGCTATCCAAATATCCTCTTGCAGATTTTACAAAAAGAGTGTTTCAAAACTGCTCTATCAAAAGAAAGCTTCAACACTGTTAGTTGAGGGCGCACATCACAAATAAGTTTCTGAGAATGCTTCTGTCTAGTTTTCAGGGGAAGATATTTCCTTTTTCACCATAGGCCTGAAAGCGCTCCAAATGTCCACATCCAGATACTGCAAAAAGAGTGTTTCAAACCTGCTCTATGAAAGGGAATGTTCAACTCTGTGACTTGAATGCAAACATCACAAAGAAGTTACTGGGAATGCTGCTGTCTGCTTTTTATATGTAATCCCGTTTCCAACGAAATCCTCAAAGCTAGACAAATATCCACTTGCAGATTCCACAAAAAGAGTGTTTCAAAACTGCTCTCTCAAAAGAAAGGTTCAAAGCTGTTAGCTGAGTAGATACATCACGAAAAAGTTTCTGACATTGCTTCTATGTAGCTTTTATTGGAAGATATTTCCTTTTTCACCGTAGTCCTGAGATCTCTCCAAATGTCCATTTCCAGGTACTACAAAAAGAGTGTTTCAAACCTGCTCTATGAAAGGGACTTTTCAACACTGTGACTTCAATTGAAACATCCCAATGAAGCTTCTGAGAATGCTTCTGTCTTGAGTTTATATGAAGAAAATCCCGTTTCCAATGAAATCCTCAAAGCTATCCAAATATCCTCTTGCAGATTTTACGAAAAGAGTGTTTCAAAACTGCTCTATCAAAAGAAAGCTTCAACACTGTTAGCTGAGGGCGCACATCACAAATAAGATTCTGAGAATGCTTCTGTCTTGTTTTCAGGAGAAGATATTTCCTTTTTCACCATAGGCCTGAAAGCGCTCCAAATGTCCACATCCAGATACTATAAAAAGAGTGTTTCAAACCTGCTCTATGAAACGGAATGTTCAACTCTGGGACTTGAATGCAAACATCACAAAGAAGATTCTGGGAATGCTTCTGTCTAGTTTTCAGGGGAAGATATTTCCTTTTAAACCATAGGCCTGAAAGCGCTCCAAATGTCCACATCCAGATACTACAAAAAGAGTGTTTCAAACCTGCTCTATGAAAGGGACTGTTCAACACTGTGACTTCAATTGAAACATCCCAATGACGCTTCTGAGAATGCTACTGTCTAGAGTTTATATGAAGACAATCCCGTTTCCAACGAAATCCTCAAAGCTATCCAAATATCCTCTTGCAGATTTTACAAAAAGAGTGTTTCAAAACTACTCTATCAAAAGAAAGGTTCAACATTGTTAGTTGAGGGCGCACATCACATATAAGTTTCTGAGAATGCTTCTGTCTAGTTTTCAGGGGAAGATATTTCCTTTTTCACCATAGGCCTGAAAGCGCTCCAAATGTCCACATCCAGATACTACAAAAAGAGTGTTTCAAACCTGCTCTATGAAAGGGAATGTTCAACTCTGTGACTTGAATGCAAACATCACAAAGAAGTTTCTGGGAATGCTGCTGTCTGCTTTTTATATATAATCCCGTTTCCAACGAAATCCTCAAAGCTAGACAAATATCCACTTGCAGATTCCACAAAAACAGTGTTTCAAAACTGCTCTCTCAAAAGAAAGGTTCAACTCTGTTAGTTGAGTAGATACATCATGAAAAAGTTTCTGACATTGCTTCTATCTAGCTTTTATTGGAAGATATTTCCTTTTTCACCGTAGTCCTGAGAACGCTCCAAATGTCCACTTCCAGATGCTACAAAAAGAGTGTTTCAAACCTGCTCTATGAAAGGGACTGTTCAACACTGTGACTTCAATTGAAACATCCCAATGAAGCTTCTGAGAATGCATCTTTCTAGAGTTTATATGAAGACAATCCCGTTTCCAACGAAATCCTCAAAGCTATCCAAATATTCTCTTGCAGATATTACAAAAAGAGTGTTTCAAAACTGCTCTATCAAAATAAAGCTTCAACACTGTTAGTTGAGGGCGCACATCACAAATAAGTTTCTGAGAATGCTGCTGTCTGCTTTTTATAATTAATCCCGTTTCCAACGAAATCCTCAAAGCTATCCAAATATCCTCTTGCAGATATTCAAAAAGAGTGTTTCAAAACCGCTCTATCAAAAGAAAGCTTCAACACTGTTAGTTGAGGGCGCACATCACAAATAAGTTTCTGAGAATGCTTCTGTCTAGTTTTCAGGGGAAGATATTTCCTTTTAAACCATAGGCCTGAAAGCGCTCCAAATGTCCACATCCAGATACTACAAAAAGAGTGTTTCAAACCTGCTCTATGAAAGGGACTGTTCAACACTGTGACTTCAATTGAAACATCCCAATGAAGCTTCTGAGAATGCTTCTGTCTAGAGTTTATATGAAGACAATCCCGTTTCCAACGAAATCCTCAAAGCTATCCAAATATCCTCTTGCAGATATTACAAAAAGAGTGTTTCAAAACTGCTCTATCAAAAGAAAGCTTCAACACTGTTAGTTGAGGGCGCACATCACAAATAAGTTTCTGAGAATGCTTCTGTCTAGTTTTCAGGGGAAGATATTTCCTTTTTCACCATAGGCCTGAAAGCGCTCCAAATGTCCACATCCAGACACTACAAAAAGAGTGTTTCAAACCTGCTCTATGAAAGGGAATGTACAAGTCTGTGACTTGAATGCAAATATCACAAAGAAGTTTCTGGGAATGCTGCTGTCTGCTTTTTATATGTAATCCCGTTTCCAACGAAATCCTCAAAGCTAGACAAATATCCACTTGCAGATTCCACAAAAAGAGTGTTTCAAAACTGCTCTCTCAAAGGAAGGTTCAACTCTGTTAGCTGAGTAGATACATCATGAAAAAGTTTCTGACATTGCTTCTATCTAGCTTTTATTGGAAGATATTTCCTTTTTCACCGCAGTCCTGAGAGCGCTCCAAATGTCCACTTCCAGATACTACAAAAAGAGTGTTTCAAACCTGCTCTATGAAAGGGACTGTTCAACACTGTGACTTTAATTGAAACATCCCAATGAAGCTTCTGAGAATGCTTCTGTCTAGAGTTTATATGAAGACAATCCCGTTTCCAACGAAATCCTCAAAGCTATCCAAATATCCTCTTGCAGATATTACAAAAAGAGTGTTTCAAAACTGCTCTATCAAAAGAAAGGTTCAACACTGTTAGTTGAGGGCGCACATCACAAATAAGTTTACTGAGAATGCTGCTGTCTGCTTTTTATATGTAATCCCGTTTCCAACGAAATCCTCAAAGCTAGACAAATATCCACTTGCAGATTCCACAAAAAGAGTGTTTCAAAACTGCTCTATCAAAAGAAAGCTTCAACACTGTTAGTTGAGGGCGCACATCACAAATAAGTTTCTGAGAATGCTTCTGTCTAGTTTTCAGGGGAAGATATTTCCTTTTTCACCATAGGCCTGAAAGCGCTCCAAATGTCCACATCCAGATACTACAAAAAGAGTGTTTCAAACCTGCTCTATGAAAGGGACTGTTCAACACTGTGACTTCAATTGAAACATCCCAATGAAGCTTCTGAGAATGCTTCTGTCTAGAGTTTATATGAAGACAATCCCGTTTCCAACGAAATCCTCAAAGCTATCAAAATATCCTCTTGCAGATTTTACGAAAAGAGTGTTTCAAAACTGCTCTATCAAAAGAAAGCTTCAACACTGTTAGTTGAGGGCGCACATCACAAATAAGATTCTGAGAATGCTTCTGTCTAGTTTTCAGGAGAAGATATTTCCTTTTTCACCATAGGCCTGAAAGCGCTCCAAATGTCCACATCCAGATACTATAAAAAGAGTGTTTCAAACCTGCTCTCTGAAAGGGAATGTTCAACTCTGTTTTTTGAATGCAAACATCACAAACAAGATTCTGGGAATGCTGCTGTCTGCTTTTTATATGTAATCCCGTTTCCAACGAAATCCTCAAAGCTAGACAAATATCCACTTGCAGATTCCACAAAAAGAGTGTTTCAAAACTGCTCTCTCAAAAGAAAGGTTCAACTCTGTTACCTGAGTAGATACTTCACGAAAAAGTTTCTGACATTGCTTCTATCTAGCTTTTATTGGAAGATATTTCCTTTTTCACCGTAGTCCTGAGAGCGCTCCAAATGTCCACTTCCAGATACTACAAAAAGAGTGTTTCAAACCTGCTCTATGAAAGGGACTGTTCAACACTGTGACTTCAATTGAAACATCCCAATAAAGCTTCTGAGAATGCTTCTGTCTAGAGTTTATATGAAGACAATACCGTTTCCAACGAAATCCTCAAAGCTATCCAAATATCCTCTTGCAGATTTTACAAAAAGAGGGTTTCAAAACTGCTCTATCAAAAGAAAGCTTCAACACTGTTAGTTGAGGGCGCACATCAGAAATAAGATTCTGAGAATGCTTCTGTCTAGTTTTCAGGGGAAGATATTACCTTTTTCACCATAGGCCTGAAAGCGCTCCAAATGTCCACATCCAGATACTACAAAAAGAGTGTTTCAAACCTGCTCTATGAAAGGGAATGTTCAACTCTGTGACTTGAATGCAAACATCACAAAGAAGTTTCTGGGAATGCTTCTGTCTAGTTTTCAGGGGAAGATATTTCCTTTTAAACCATAGGCCTGAAAGCGCTCCAAATGTCCACATCCAGATACTACAAAAAGAGTGTTTCAAACCTGCTCTATGAAAGGGACTGTTCAACACTGTGACTTCAATTGAAACATCCCAATGAAGCTTCTGAGAATGCTTCTGTCTACAGTTTATATGAAGACAATCCCGTTTCCAATGAAATCCTCAAAGCTATGCAAATATCCTCTTGCAGATTTTACAAAAAGAGTGTTTCAAAACTGCTCTATCAAAAGAAAGCTTCAACACTGTTAGTTGAGGGCGCACATCACAAATAAGATTCTGAGAATGCTTTTGTCTAGTTTTCAGGGGAAGATATTTCCTTTTTCACCTTAGGCCTGAAAGCGCTGCAAATGTCCACATCCAGATACTACAAAAAGAGTGTTTCAAACCTGCTCTATGAAAGGGAATGTTCAACTCTGTGACTTGAATGCAAACATCACAAAGAAGTTTCTGGGAATGCTGCTGTCTGCTTTTTATATGTAATCCCGTTTCCAAAGAAATCCTCAAAGCTAGACAAATATCCACTTGCAGATTCCACAAAAAGAGTGTTTCAAAACTGCTCTCTCAAAAGAAAGGTTCAACTCTTTTAGCTGAGTAGATACATCATGAAAAAGTTTCTCACATTGCTTCTATCTAGCTTTTATTGGAAGATATTTCCTTTTTCACCGCAGTCCTGAGAGCGCTCCAAATGTCCACTTCCAGATACTACAAAAAGAGTGTTTCAAACCTGCTCTATGAAAGGGACTGTTCAACACTGTGACTTCAATTGAAACATCCCAATGAAGCTTCTGAGAATGCTTCTGTCTAGAGTTTATATGAAGACAATCCTGTTTCCACCGAAATCCTCAAAGCTATCCAAATATCCTCTTGCAGATTTTACAAAAAGAGTGTTTCAAAACTGCTCTATCAAAAGAAAGCTTCAACACTGTTAGTTGAGGGCGCACATCACAAATAAGATTCTGAGAATGCTTCTGTCTAGTTTTCAGGGGAAGATATTTCCTTTTTCACCATAGGCCTGAAAGCGCTCCAAATGTCCACATCCAGATACTACAAAAAGAGTGTTTCAAGCCTGCTCTATGAAAGGGAATGTTCAACTCTGTGACTTGAATGCAAACATCACAAAGAAGTTTCTGGGAATGCATCTGTCTAGAGTTTATATGAAGACAATCCCGTTTCCAACGAAATCCTCAAAGCTATCCAAATATCCTCTTGCAGATTTTACAAAAAGAGTGTTTCAAAACTGCT
The DNA here is from genome assembly GCF_000001405.40 of Homo sapiens. NCBI lineage: Eukaryota > Metazoa > Chordata > Mammalia > Primates > Hominidae > Homo > Homo sapiens. Next base: position 93,865,502 of record NC_000002.12, on the reverse strand, counting down.
CTCTCAAAAGAAAGGTTCAACTCTGTTAGCTGAGTAGATACATCATGAAAAAGTTTCTGACATTGCTTCTATCTAGCTTTTATTGGAAGATATTTCCTTTTTCACCGCAGTCCTGAGAGCGCTCCAAATGTCCACTTCCAGATACTACAAAAAGAGTGTTTCAAACCTGCTCTATGAAAGGGACTGTTCAACACTGTGACTTCAATTGAAACATCCCAATGAAGCTTCTGAGAATGCTTCTGTCTAGATTCTATATGAAGACAATCCCGTTTCCAACGAAATCCTCAAAGCTATCCAAATATCCTCTTGCAGATTTTACAAAAAGAGTGTTTCAAAACTGCTCTATCAAAAGAAAAGTTCCACACTGTTAGTTGAGGGCGCACATCACAAATAAGTTTGCTGAGAATGCTGCTGTCTGCTTTTTATATGTAATCCCGTTTCCAACGAAATCCTCAAAGCTAGACAAATATCCACTTGCAGATTCCACAAAAAGAGTGTTTCAAAACTGCTCTATCAAAAGAAAGCTTCAACACTGTTAGTTGAGGGCGCACATCACAAATAAGTTTCTGAGAATGCTTCTGTCTAGTTTTCAGGGGAAGATATTTCCTTTTTCACCATATGCCTGAAAGCGCTCCAAATGTCCACATCCAGATACTACAAAAAGAGTGTTTCAAACCTGCTCTATGAAAGGGACTGTTCAACACTGTGACTTCAATTGAAACATCCCAATGAAGCTTCTGAGAATGCTTCTGCCTAGAGTTTATATGAAGACAATCCCGTTTCCAACGAAATCCTCAAAGCTATCCAAATATCCTCTTGCAGATATTACAAAAAGAGTGTTTCAAAACTGCTCTATCAAAAGAAAGCTTCAACACTGTTAGTTGAGGGCGCACATCACAAATAAGTTTCTGAGAATGCTTCTGTCTAGTTTTCAGGGGAAGATATTTCCTTTTTCACCATAGGCCTGAAAGCGCTCCAAATGTCCACATCCAGATACTACAAAAAGAGTGTTTCAAACCTGCTCTATGAAAGGGAATGTTCAACTCTGTGACTTGAATGCAAACATCAGAAAGAAGATTCTGGGAATGCAGCTGTCTGCTTTTTATATGTAATCCCGTTTCCAACGAAATCCTCAAAGCTAGACAAATATCCACTTGCAGAATCCACAAAAAGAGTGTTTCAAAACTGCTCTCTCAAAAGAAAGTTTCAATTCTGTTAGCTGAGTAGATACATCATGAAAAATTTTCTGACATTGCTTCTATCTATCTTTATTTAGAAGATATTTCCTTTTTCACTGTAGTCCTGAAAACGCTCCAAATGTCAACTTCCAGATACTACAAAAAGAGTGTTTCAAACATGCTCTATGAAAGGGACTGTTCAACACTGTGACTTCAATTGAAACATCCCAATGAAGCTTCTGAGAATGCTTCTGTCTAGAGTTTATATGAAGACAATCCCGTTTCCAACGAAATCCTCAAAGCTATCCAAATATCCTCTTGCAGATATTACAAAAAGAGTGTTTCAAAACTGCTCTATCAAAAGAAAGGTTCAACACTGTTAGTTGAGGGCGCACATCACAAATAAGTTTACTGAGAATGCTGCTGTCTGCTTTTTATATGTAATCCCGTTTCCAACGAAATCCTCAAAGCTAGACAAACATCCACTTGCAGATTCCACAAAAAGAGTGTTTCAAAACTGCTCTATCAAAAGAATGCTTCAACACTGTTAGTTGAGGGCGCACATCACAAATAAGTTTCTGAGAATGCTTCTGTCTAGTTTTCAGGGGAAGATATTTCCTTTTTTACCATAGGCCTGAAAGCGCTCCAAATGTCCACATCCAGATACTACAAAAAGAGTGTTTCAAACCTGCTCTATGAATGGGACTGTTCAACACTGTGACTTCAATTGAAACATCCCAATGAAGCATCTGAGAATGCTTCTGTCTAGAGTTTATATGAAGACAATCCCGTTTCCAACGTAATCCTCAAAGCTATCCAAATATCCTCTTCCAGATTTTACGAAAAGAGTGTTTCAAAACTGCTCTATCAAAAGAAAGCTTCAACACTGTTAGTTGAGGGCGCACATCACAAATAAGATTCTGAGAATGCTTCTGTCTAGTTTTCAGGGGAAGATATTTCCTTTTTCACCATAGGCCTGAAAGCGCTCCAAATGTCCACATCCAGATACTACAAAAAGAGTGTTTCAAACCTGCTCTATGAAAGGGAATGTTCAACTCTGTGACTTGAATGCAAACATCACAAAGAAGTTTCTGGGAATGCTGCTGTCTGCTTTTTATATGTAATCCCGTTTCCATCGAAATCCTCAAAGCTAGACAAATATCCACTTGCAGATTCCACAAAAATAGTGTTTCAAAACTGCTCTCTCAAAAGAATGGTTCAACTCTTTTAGCTGAGTAGATACATCATGAAAAAGTTTCTGATATTGCTTCTATGTAGCTTTTATTGGAAGATATTTCCTTTTTCACCATAGTCCTGAGAGCGCTCCAAATGTCCACTTCCAGATACTACAAAAAGAGTGTTTCAAACCTGTTCTATGAAAGGAACTGTTCAACACTGTGACTTCAATTGAAACATCCCAATGAAGCTTCTGAGAATGCTTCTGTCTAGAGTTTATATGAAGACAAACCCGTTTCCAACGAAATCCTCAAAGCTATCCAAATATCCTCTTGCAGATATTACAAAAAGAGTGTTTCAAAAGTGCTCTATCAAAAGAAAGCTTCAACACTGTTAGTTGAGGGCGCACATCACAAATAAGTTTCTGAGAATGCTTCTGTCTAGTTTTCAGGGGAAGATATTTCCTTTTTCACCTTAGGCCTGAAAGCGCTGCAAATGTACACATCCAGATACTACAAAAAGAGTGTTTCAAACCTGCTCTATGAAAGGGAATGTTCAACTCTGTGACTTGAATGCAAACATCACAAAGAAGTTACTGGGAATGCTTTTGTCTAGTTTTCAGGGGAAGATATTTCCTTTTAAACCATAGGCCTGAAAGCGCTCCAAATGTCCACATCCAGATACTACAAAAAGAGTGTTTCAAACCTGCTCTATGAAAGGGACTGTTCAACACTGTGACTTCAATTGAAACATCCCAATGAAGCTTCTGAGAATGCTTCTGTCTAGAGTTTATATGAGGACAATCCCGTTTCCAACGAAATCCTCAAAGATATCCAAATATCCTCTTGCAGATATTACAAAAAGAGTGTTTCAAAACTGCTCTATCAAAAGAAAGCTTCAACACTGTTAGTTGAGGGCGCACATCACAAATTAGTTTCTGAGAATGCTTCTGTGTAGTTTGCAGGGGAAGATATTTCCTTTTTCACCATAGGCCTGAGAGCGCTCCAAATGTCCACATCCAGATACTACAAAAAGAGTGTTTCAAACCTGCTCTACGAAAGGGAATGTTCAACTCTGTGACTTGAATGCAAACATCACAAAGAAGTTTCTGGGAATGCTGCTGTCTGCTTTTTATATGTAATCCCGTTTCCAACGAAATCCTCAAAGCTAAACAAATATCCAATTGCAGATTCCACAAAAAGAGTGTTTCAAAACTGCTCTCTCAAAAGAAAGGTTCAACTCTGTTAGCTGAGTAGATACATCATGAAAAAGTTTCTGACATTGCTTCTATCTAGCTTTTATTGGAAGATATTTCCTTTTTCACCGTAGTCCTGAGAGCGCTCCAAATGTCCACTTCCAGATACTACAAAAAGAGTGTTTCAAACCTGCTCTATGAAAGGGACTGTTCAACACTGTGACTTCAATTGAAACATCCCAATGAAGCTTCTGAGAATGCTGCTGTCTGCTTTGTATAATTAATCCCGTTTCCAACGAAATCCTCAAAGCTATCCAAATATCCTCTTGCAGATATTACAAAAAGAGTGTTTCAAAACTGCTCTATCAAAAGAAAGCTTCAACACTGTTAGTTGAGGGCGCACATCACAAATAAGTTTCTGAGAATGCTGCTGTCTGCTTTTTATAATTAATCCCGTTTCCAACGAAATCCTCAAAGCTATCCAAATATCCTCTTGCAGATATTACAAAAAGAGTGTTTCAAAACTGCTCTATCAAAAGAAAGCTTCAACACTGTTAGTTGAGGGCGCACATCACAAATAAGTTTCTGAGAATGCTTCTGTCTAGTTTTCAGGGGAAGATATTTCCTTTTAAACCATAGGCCTGAAAGCGCTCCAAATGTCCACATCCAGATACTACAAAAAGAGTGTTTCAAACCTGCTCTATGAAAGGGACTGTTCAACACTGTGACTTCAATTGAAACATCCTAATGACGCTTCTGAGAATGCTTCTGTCTAGAGTTTATATGAAGACAATCCCGTTTCCAACGAAATCCTCAAAGCTATCCAAATATCCTCTTGCAGATTTTACAAAAAGAATGTTTCAAAACTACTCTATCAAAAGAAAGCTTCAACACTGTTAGTTGAGGGCGCACTTCACAAATAACTTTCTGAGACTACTTCTGTCTAGTTTTCTTGGGAAGATATTTCCTTTTTCACCATAGGCCTGAAAGCGCTCCAAATGTCCACATCCAGATACTACAAAAAGAGTGTTTCAAACCTGCTCTATGAAAGGGAATGTTCAACTCTGTGACTTGAATGCAATCATCACAAAGAAGTTACTGGGAATGCTGCTGTCTGCTTTTTATATGTAATCCCGTTTCCAACGAAATCCTCAAAGCTAGACAAATATCCACTTCCAGATTCCACAAAAAGAGTGTTTCAAAACTGCTCTCTCAAAAGAAAGGTTCAACTCTGTTAGCTGAGTAGATACATCATGAAAAAGTTTCTGACATTACTTCTATGTAGCTTTTATTGGAAGATATTTCCTTTTTCACCATAGGCCTGAAAGCGCTCCAAATGTCCACATCCAGATAATACAAAAAAAGTGTTTCAAACCTGCTCTATGAAAGGGAATGTTCAACTCTGTGACGTGAATGCAAACATCACAAAGAAGTTTCTGGGAATGCTTCTGTCTAGAGTTTATATGAAGACAATCCCGTTTCCAACGAAATCCTCAAAGCTATCCAAATATCCTCTTGCAGATTTTACAAAAAGAGTGTTTCAAAACTGCTCTATCAAAAGAAAGCTTCAACACTGTTAGTTGAGGGCGCACATCACAAATAAGTTTCTGAGAATGCTTCTGTCTAGTTTTCAGGGGAAGATACTTCCTTTTTCACCATAGGCCTGAAAGCGCTCCAAATGTCCACATCCAGATACTACAAAAAGAGTGTTTCAAACCTGCTCTATGAAAGGGAATGTTCAAGTCTGTGACTTGAATGCAAACATCACAAAGTAGTTTCTGGGAATGCTGCTGTCTGCTTTTTATATGTAATCCCGTTTCCAAATCAATCCTCAAAGCTAGACAAATATCCACTTGCAGATTCCACAAAAAGAGTGTTTCAAAACTGCTCTCTCAAAAGAAAGGTTCAACTCTGTTAGCTGAGTAGATACGTCATAAAAAAGTTTCTGATATTGCTTCTATGTAGCTTTTATTGGAAGATATTTCCTTTTTCACCATAGTCCTGAGAGCGCTCCAAATGTCCACTTCCAGATACTACAAAAAGAGTGTTTCAAACCTGTTCTATGAAAGGAACTGTTCAACACTGTGACTTCAATTGAAACATCCCAATGAAGATTCTGAGAATGCTGCTGTCTGCTTTGTATAATTAATCCCGTTTCCAACGAAATCCTCAAAGCTATCCAAATATCCTCTTGCAGATATTACAAAAAGAGTGTTTCAAAACTGCTCTATCAAAAGAAAGCTTCAACACTGTTAGTTGAGGGCGCACATCACAAATAAGTTTCTGAGAATGCTGCTGTCTGCTTTTTATATGTAATCCCGTTTCCAACGAAATCCTCAAAGCTAGACAAATATCCACTTGCAGATTCCACAAAAAGAGTGTTTCAAAACTGCTCTATCAAAAGAATGCTTCAACACTGTTAGTTGAGGGCGCACATCACAAATAAGTTTCTGAGAATGCTTCTGTCTAGTTTTCAGGGGAAGATATTTCCTTTTAAACCATAGGCCTGAAAGCGCTCCAAATGTCCACATCCAGATACTACAAGAAGAGTGTTTCAAACCTGCTCTATGAAAGGGACTGTTCAACACTGTGACTTCAATTGAAACATCCCAATGAAGCTTCTGAGAATGCTTCTGTCTAGAGTTTATATGGAGACAATCCCGTTTCCAACGAAATCCACAAAGCTATCCAAATATCCTCTTGGAGATTTTACAAAAAGAGTGTTTCAAAACTGTTCTATCAAAAGAAAGCTTCAACACTGTTAGTTGAGGGCGCACATCACAAATAAGATTCTGAGAATGCTTCTGTCTAGTTTTCAGGGGAAGATATTTCCTTTTTCACCATAGGCCTGAAAGCGCTCCAAATGTCCACATCCAGATACTACAAAAAGAGTGTTTCAAACCTGCTCTATGAAAGGGAATGTTCAACTCTGTGACTTGAATGCAAACATCACAAAGGAGTTTCTGGGAATGCTGCTGTCTGCTTTTTATATGTAATCCCGTTTCCAGCGAAATCCTCAAAGCTAGACAAATATCCACCTGCAGATTCCACAAAAAAAGTGTTTCAAAACTGCTCTCTCAAAGGAAAGGTTCAACTCTGTTAGCTGAGTAGATACATCATGAAAAAGTTTCTGACATTGCTTCTATCTAGCTTTTATTGGAAGATATTTCCTTTTTCACCGTAGTCCTGAGAGCGCTCCAAATGTCCACTTCCAGATACTACAAAAAGAGTGTTTCAAACCTGCTCTATGAAAGGGACTGTTCAACACTGTGACTTCAATTGAAACATCCCAATGAAGCTTCTGAGAATGCTTCTGTCTAGATTTTATATGAAGACAATCCCGTTTCCAACGAAATCCTCAAAGCTATCCAAATATCCTCTTGCAGATTTTACAAAAAGAGTGTTTCAAAACTGCTCTATCAAAAGAAAAGTTCAACACTGTTAGTTGAGGGCGCACATCACAAATAAGATTCTGAGAATGCTTCTGTCTAGTTTTCAGGGGAAGATATTTCCTTCTTCACCATAGGCCTGAAAGCACTCCAAATATCCACATCCAGATACTACAAAAAGAGTGTTTCAAACCTGCTCTATGAAACGGAATGTTCAACTCTGTGACTTGAATGCAAACATCACAAAGAAGTTTCTGGGAATGCTTCTGTCTAGTTTTCAGGAGAAGATATTTCCTTTTTCTCCGTATTCCTGAGATCTCTCCAAATGTCCACTTCCAGATACTACAAAAAGAGTGTTTCAAACCTGCTCTATGAAAGGGACTGTTCAACACTGTGACTTCAATTGAAACATCCCAATGAAGCTTCTGAGAATGCTTTTGTCTGGAGTTTATATGAAGACAATCCCGTTTCCAACGAAATCCTCAAAGCTATCCAAATATCCTCTTGCAGATTTTACAAAAAGAGTGTTTCAAAACTGCTCTATCAAAAGAAAGCTTCAACACTGTTAGTTGAGGGCGCACATCACAAATAAGATTCTGAGAATGCTTCTGTCTAGTTTTCAGGGGAAGATATTTCCTTTTTCACCATAGGCCTGAAAGCGCTCCAAATGTCCACATCCAGATACTACAAAAAGAGTGTTTCAAACCTGCTCTATGAAAGGGAATGTTCAACTCTGTGACTTGAATGCAAACATCACTAAGAAATTTCTGGGAATGCTGCTGTCTGCTTTTTATATGTAATCCCGTTTCCAACGAAATCCTCAAAGCTAGGCAAATATCCCCTTGCAGATTCCACAAAAAGAGTGTTTCAAAACTGCTCTCTCAAAGGAAGGTTCAACTCTGTTAGCTGAGTAGATACATCATGAAAAAGTTTCTGACATTGCTTCTATCTAGCTTTTATTGGAAGATATTTCCTTTTTCACCGCAGTCCTGAGAGCGCTCCAAATGTCCACTTCCAGATACTACAAAAAGAGTGTTTCAAACCTGCTCTATGAAAGGGACTGTTCAACACTGTGACTTTAATTGAAACATCCCAATGAAGCTTCTGAGAATGCTTCTGTCTAGAGTTTATATGAAGACAATCCCGTTTCCAACGAAATCCTCAAAGCTATCAAAATATCCTCTTGCAGATTTTACGAAAAGTGTGTTTCAAAACTGCTCTATCAAAAGAAAGCTTCAACACTGTTAGTTGAGGGCGCACATCACAAATAAGATTCTGAGAATGCTGCTGTCGGCTTTTTATAATTAATCCCGTTTCCAACGAAATCATCAAAGCTATCCAAATATCCTCTTGCAGATATTACAAAAAGAGTGTTTCAAAACTGCTCTATCAAAAGAAAGGTTCAACACCGTTAGTTGAGGGCGCACATCACAAATAAGTTTCTGAGAATGCTTCTGTCTAGTTTTCAGGGGAAGATATTTCCTTTTAAACCATAGGCCTGAAAGCGCTCCAAATGTCCACATCCAGATACTACAAAAAGAGTGTTTGAAACCTGCTTTATGAAAGGGACTGTTCAACACTGTGACTTCAATTGAAACATCCCAATGAAGCTTCTGAGAATGCTTCTGTCTAGAGTTTATATGAAGACAATCCCGTTTCCAACGAAATCCTCAAAGCTATCCAAATATCCTCTTGCAGATATTACAAAAAGAGTGTTTCAAAACTGCTCTATCAAAAGAAAGCTTCAACACTGTTAGTTGAGGGGGCACATCACAAATACGTTTCTGAGAATGCTTCTGTCTAGTTTTCAGGGGAAGATATTTCCTTTTTCACCATAGGCCTGAAAGCGCTCCAAATGTCCACATCCAGATACTACAAAAAGATTGTTTCAAACCTACTCTATGAAAGGGAATGTTCAACTCTGTGACGTGAATGCAAACATCACAAAGAAGTTTCTGGGAATGCTGCTGTCTGCTTTTTATATGTAATCCCGTTTCCAACGAAATCCTCAAAGCTAGACAAATATCCACTTGCAGATTCCACAAAAACAGTGTTTCAAAACTGCTCTCTCAAAAGAAAGGTTCAACTCTGTTAGCTGAGTAGATACATCATGAAAATGTTTCTGACATTGCTTCTATGTAGCTTTTATTGGAAGATATTTCCTTTTTCACCGTAGTCCTGAGAGCGCTCCAAATGTCCACTTCCAGATACTACAAAAAGAGTGTTTCAAACCTGTTCTATGAAAGGAACTGTTCAACAGTGTGACTTCAATTGAAACATCCCAATGAAGCTTCTGAGAATGCTTCTGTCTAGAGTTTATATGAAGACAATCCCGTTTCCAACGAAATCCTCAAAGCTATCCAAATATCCTCTTGCAGATATTACAAAAAGAGTGTTTCAAAACTGCTCTATCAAAAGAAAGGTTCAACACTGTTAGTTGAGGGCGCACATCACAAATAAGTTTACTGAGAATGCTGCTGTCTGCTTTTTATATGTAATCCCGTTTCCAACGAAATCCTCAAAGCTAGACAAATATCCACTTGCAGATTCCACAAAAAGAGTGTTTCAAAACTGCTCTATCAAAAGAAAGCTTCAACACTGTTAGTTGAGGGCGCACATCACAAATAAGTTTCTGAGAATGCTTCTGTCTAGTTTTCAGGGGAAGATATTTCCTTTTTCACCATAGGCCTGAAAGCGCTCCAAATGTCCACATCCAGATACTACAAAAAGAGTGTTTCAAACCTGCTCTATGAAAGGGACTGTTCAACACTGTGACTTCAATTGAAACATCCCAATGAAGCTTCTGAGAATGCTTCTGTCTAGAGTTTATATGAAGACAATCCCGTTTCCAACGAAATCCTCAAAGCTATCCAAATATCCTCTTGCAGATACTACAAAAAGAGTGTTTCAAAACTGCTCTATCAAAAGAAAGGTTCAACACTGTTAGTTGAGGGCGCACATCACAAATAAGTTTCTGAGAATGCTTCTGTCTAGTTTTCAGGGGAAGATATTTCCTTTTTCACCATAGGCCTGAAAGCGCTCCAAATGTCCACATACAGATACTACAAAAAGAGTGTTTCAAATCTGCTCTATGAAAGGGAATGTTCAACTCTGTGACTTGAATGCAAACATCACAAAGAAGTTTCTGGGAATGCTGCTGTCTGCTTTTTATATGTAATCCCGTTTCCAACGAAATCCTCAAAGCTAGACAAATATCCACTTGCAGATTCCACAAAAAGAGTGTTTCAAAACTGCTCTCTCAAAGGAAGGTTCAACTCTGTTAGCTGAGTAGATACATCATGAAAAAGTTTCTGACATTGCTTCTATGTAGCTTTTATTGTAAGATATTTCCATTTTCACCGTAGTCCTGAGAGCGCTCCAAATGTCCACTTCCAGATACTGCAAAAAGAGTGTTTCAAACCTGTTCTATGAAAGGAACTGTTCAACACTGTGACTTCAATTGAAACATCCCAATGAAGCTTCTGAGAATGCTTCTTTCTAGAGTTTATATGAAGACAATCCCGTTTCCAACGAAATCCTCAAAGCTATCCAAATATTCTCTTGCAGATATTACAAAAAGAGTGTTTCAAAACTGCTCTATCAAAATAAAGCTTCAACACTGTTAGTTGAGGGCGCACATCACAAATAAGTTTCTGAGAATGCTGCTGTCTGCTTTTTATATGTAATCCCGTTTCCAACGAAATCCTCAAAGCTAGACAAATATCCACGTGCAGATTCCACAAAAAGAGTGTTTCAAAACTGCTCTATCAAGAGAAAGCTTCAACACTGTTAGTTGAGGGCGCACATCACAAATAAGTTTCTGAGAATGCTTCTGTCTAGTTTTCAGGGGAAGATATTTCCTTTTTCACCATAGGCCTGAAATCGCTCTAAATGTCCACATCCAGATACTACAAAAAGAGTGTTTCAAACCTGCTCTATGAAAGGGACTGTTCAACACTGTGACTTCAATTGAAACATCCCAATGAAGCTTCTGAGAATGCTTCTGTCTAGAGTTTATATGAAGACAATCCCGTTTCCAACGAAATCCTCAAAGCTATCCAAATATCCTCTTGCAGATTTTACAAAAAGAGTGTTTCAAAACTGCTCTATCAAAAGAAAGCTTCAACACTGTTAGTTGAGGGCGCACATCACAAATAAGATTCTGAGAATACTCTATGTAGCTTTTATTGGAAGATATTTCCTTTTTCACCATAGGCCTGAAAGCGCTCCAAATGTCCACATCCAGATACTACAAAAAAAGTGTTTCAAACCTGCTCTATGAAAGGGAATGTTCAACTCTGTGACTTGAATGCAAACATCACAAAGAAGTTACTGGGAATGCTGGCTGTCTGCTTTTTATATGTAATGCCGTTTCCAACGAAATCCTCAAAGCTAGACAAATATCCACTTGCAGATTCCACAAAAAGAGTGTTTCAAAACTGCTCTCCCAAAAGAAAGGTTCAACTCCTGTTAGCTGAGTAGATACATCATGAAAAAGTTTCTGAGATTGCTTCTATCTAGCTTTCATTGGAAGATATTTCCTTTTTCACGGTAGTCCTGAGAGCGCTCCAAATGTCCACTTCCAGATACTACAAGAAGAGTGTTTCAAACCTGCTCTAACAAAGGGAATGTTCAACACTGTGACTTCAATTGAAACATCCCAAAGAAATTTCTGAGAATGCTTCTGTCTAGAGTTTATATGAAGACAATCCCGTTTCCAACGAAATCCTCAAAGCTATCCAAATATCCTCTTGCAGATTTAACAAAATAGTGTTTCAAAACTGCTCTATCAAAAGAAAGGTTCAACACTGTTAGTTGGGGGCGCACATCACAAATAAGATTCTGAGAATGCTGCTGTCTGCTTTTTATATGTAATCCCGTTTCCAACGAAATCCTCAAAGCTAGACAAATATCCACTTGCAGATTCCACAAAAAGAGTGTTTCAAACTGCTCTATCAAAAGAATGCTTCAACACTGTTAGTTGAGGGCGCACATCACAAATAAGTTTCTGAGAATGCTTCTGTCTAGTTTTCAGGGGAAGATATTTCCTTTTTCACCATAGGCCTGAAAGCGCTCCAAATGTCCACATCCAGATACTACAAATGAGTGTTTCAAACCTGCTCTATGAAAGGGACTGTTCAACACTGTGACTTCAATTGAAACATCCCAATGAAGCTTCTGAGAATGCTACTGTCTAGAGTTTATATGAAGACAATCCCATTTCCACCGAAATCCTCAAAGCTATCCAAATATCCTCTTGCAGATTTTACAAAAAGAGTGTTTCAAACTGCTCTATCAAAAGAAAGCTTCAACACTGTTAGTTGAGGGTGCACATCGCAAATAAGTTTCTGAGAATGCTTCTGTCTAGTTTTCAGGGGAAGATATTTCCTTTTTCACCATAGGCCTGAAAGTGCTCCAAATGTCCACATCCAGATACTACAAAAAGAGTGTTTCAAACCTGCTCTATGAAAGGGAATGTTCAACTCTGTGACTTGAATGCAAACATCACAAAGAAGTTTCTGGGAATGCTGCTGTCTGCTTTTTATATGTAATCCCGTTTCCAACGAAATCCTCAAAGCTAGACAAATATCCACTTTCAGATTACACAAAAAGAGTGTTTCAAAACTGCTCTCTCAAAAGAAAGGTTCAACTCTGTTAGCTGAGTAGATACATCATGAAAAAGTTTCTGACATTGCTTCTATCTAGCTTTTATTGGAAGATATTTCCTTTATCACCGTATTCCTGAGATCTCTCCAAATGTCCACTTCCAGATACTACAAAAAGAGTGTTTCAAACCTGCTCTATGAAAGGGACTGTTCAACACTGTGACTTCAATTGAAACATCCCAATGAAGCTTCTGAGAATGCTTCTCTCTAGAGTTTATATGAAGACAATCCCGTTTCCAACGAAATCCTCAAAGCTATCCAAATATCCTCTTGCAGATTTTACAAAAAGAGTGTTTCAAAACTGCTCTATCAAAAGAAAGGTTCAACACTTGTTAGTTGAGGGCGCACATCACAAATAAGTTTCTGAGAATGCTTCTGTCTAGTTTTCAGGGGAAGATATTTCCTTTTTCACCATAGGCGTGAAAGCGCTCCAAATGTCCACATCCAGATACTACAAAAAGAGTGTTTCAAACCTGCTCTATGAAAGGGAATGTTCAACTCTGTGACTTGAATGCAAACATCACAAAGAAGTTTCTGGGAATGCTGCTGTCTGCTTTTTATATGTAATCCCGTTTCCAACGAAATCCTCAAAGCTAGACAAATATCCACTTGCAGATTCCACCAAAAGAGTGTTTCAAAACTGCTGTCTCAAAAGAAAGGTTCAACTCTGTTAGCTGAGTAGATACATCATGAACAATTTTCTGACATTCCTTCTATCTAGCTTTTATTGGAAGATATTTCCTTTTTCACCGTAGTCCTGAGAGCGCTCCAAATGTCCACTTCCAGATACTACAAAAAGAGTGTTTCAAACCTGCTCTATGAAAGGGACTGTTCAACACTGTGACTTCAATTGAAACATCCCAATGAAGCTTCTGAGAATGCTTCTGTCTAGTTTTCAGGGAAGATATTTCCTTTTTCACCATAGGCCTGAAAGCGCTCCAAATGTCCACATCCAGATGCTACAAAAAGAGTGTTTCAAACCTGCTCTATGAAAGGGAATGTTCAACTCTGTGACTTGAATGCAAACATCACAAAGAAGTTTCTGGGAATGCTGCTGTCTGCTTTTTATATGTAATCCCGTTTCCAACGAAATCCTCAAAGCTAGACAAATATCCACTTGCAGATTCCACAAAAAGAGTGTTTCAAAACTGCTCTATCAAAAGAATGCTTCAACACTGTTAGTTGAGGGCGCACATCACAAATAAGTTTCTGAGAATGCTTCTGTCTAGTTTTCAGGGGAAGATATTTCCTTTTAAACCATAGGCCTGAAAGCGCTCCAAATGTCCACATCCAGATACTACAAAAAGAGTGTTTCAAATCTGCTCTATGAAAGGGACTGTTCAACACTGTGACTTCAATTGAAACATCCCAATGAGGCTTCTGAGAATGCTTCTGTCTAGAGTTTATATGAAGACAATCCCGTATCCAACGAAATCCTCAAAGCTATCCAAATATCCTCTTGCAGATTTTACAAAAAGAGTGTTTCAAAACTGCTCTATCAAAAGAAAGCTTCAACACTGTTAGTTGAGGGCGCACATCACAAATAAGATTCTGAGAATGCTTCTGTCTAGTTTTCAGGGGAAGATATTTCCTTTTTCACCATAGGCCTGAAAGCGCTCCAAATGTCCACATCCAGATACTACAAAAAGAGTGTTTCAAACCTGCTCTATGAAAGGGAATGTTCAGCTCTGTGACTTGAATGCAAACATCACAAAGAAGTTTCTGGGAATGCTGCTGTCTGCTTTTTATATGTAATCCCGTTTCCAACGAAATCCTCAAAGCTAGACAAATATCCACTTCCAGATTCCACAAAAAGAGTGTTTCAAAACTGCTCTCTCAAAAGAAAGGTTCAACTCTGTTAGCTGAGTAGATACATCATGAAAAAGTTTCTGACATTGCTTCTATCTAGCTTTTATTGGAAGATATTTCCTTTTTCACCGTAGTCCTCAGAACGCTCCAAATGTCCACTTCCAGATACTACAAAAAGAGTGTTTCAAACCTGCTCTATGAAAGGGACTATTCAACACTGTGACTTCAATTGAAACATCCCAATGAAGCTTCTGAGAATGCTTCTGTCTAGAGTTTATATGAAGACAATCCCGTTTCCAACGAAATCCTCAAAGCTATCCAAATATCCTCTTGCAGATATTACAAAAAGAGTGTTTCAAAACTGCTCTATCAAAAGAAAGGTTCAACACTGTTAGTTGAGGGCGCACATCACAAATAAGTTTACTGAGAATGCTGCTGGCTGCTTTTTATATGTAATCCCGTTTCCAACGAAATCCTCAAAGCTAGACAAATATCCACTTGCAGATTCCACAAAAAGAGTGTTTCAAAACTGCTCTATCAAAAGAAAGCTTCAACACTGTTAGTTGAGGGGGCACATCACAAATAAGTTTCTGAGAATGCTTCTGTCTAGTTTTCAGGGGAAGATATTTCCTTTTTCACCATAGGCCTGAAAGCGCTCCAAATGTCCACATCCAGATACTACAAAAAGAGTGTTTCAAACCTGCTCTATGAAAGGGACTGTTCAACACTGTGACTTCAATTGAAACATCCCAATGAAGCTTCTGAGAATGCTTCTGTCTAGTAGTTTATATGAAGACAATCCCGTTTCCAACGAAATCCTCAAAGCTATCCAAATATCCTCTTGCAGATATTACAAAAAGAGTGTTTCAAAACTGCTCTATCAAAAGAAAGCTTCAACACTGTTAGTTGAGGGCGCACATCACAAATAAGTTTCTGAGAATGCTTCTGTCTAGTTTTCAGGGGAAGATATTTCCTTTTTCACCATAGGCCTGAAAGCGCTCCAAATGTCCACATCCAGATACTACAAAAAGAGTGTTTCAAACCTGCTCTATGAAAGGGAATGTTCAACTCTGTGACTTGAATGCAAACATCACAAAGAAGTTTCTGGGAATGCTTCTGTCTGCCTTTTATATGTAATCCCGTTTCCAACGAAATCCTCAAAGCTAGACAAATATCCACTTGCATATTCCACAAAAAGTGTGTTTCAAAACTGTTCTCTCAAAAGAAAGGTTCAACTCTGTTAGCTGAGTAGATACATCATGAACAATTTTCTGACATTGCTTCTATCTAGCTTTTATTGGAAGATATTTCCTTTATCATCGTAGTCCTGAGAGCGCTCCAAATGTCCACTTCCAGATACTACAAAAAGAGTGTTTCAAACCTGCTCTATGAAAGGAACTGTTCAACACTGTGACTTCAATTGAAACATCCCAATGAAGCTTCTGAGAATGCTGCTGTCTGCTTTGTATAATTAATCCCGTTTCCAACGAAATCCTCAAAGCTATCCAAATATCCTCTTGCAGATATTACAAAAAGAGTGTTTCAAAACTGCTCTATCAAAAGAAAGCTTCAACACTGTTAGTTGAGGGCGCACATCACAAATAAGTTTCTGAGAATGCTGCTGTCTGCTTTTTATATGTAATCCCGTTTCCAACGAAATCCTCAAAGCTAGACAAATATCCACTTGCAGATTCCACAAAAAGAGTGTTTCAAAACTGCTCTATCAAAAGAAAGCTTCAACACTGTTAGTTGAGGGGGCACATCACAAATAAGTTTCTGAGAATGCTTCTGTCTAGTTTTCAGGGGAAGATATTTCCTTTTTCACCATAGGCCTGAAAGCGCTCCAAATGTCCACATCCAGATACTACAAAAAGAGTGTTTCAAACCTGCTCTATAAAAGGGACTGTTCAACACTGTGACTTTAATTGAAACATCCCAATGAAGCATCTGAGAATGCTTCTGTCTAGATTTTATATGAAGACAATCCCGTTTCCAAAGAAATCCTCAAAGCTATCAAAATATCCTCTTGCAGATTTTACAAAGAGTGTTTCAAAACTACTCTATCAAAAGAAAGGTTTAACACTGTTAGTTGAGGGCGCACATCACAAATAAGTTTCTGAGAACGCTTCTATCTAGCTTTTATTGGAAGATATTTCCTTTTTCACCGTAGTCCTGAGAGCGCTCCAAATGTCCACTTCCAGATACTACAAAAAGAGTGTTTCAAACCTGCTCTATGAAAGGGAATGTTCAACTCTGTGACTTGAATGCAAACATCACAAAGAAGTTTCTGGGAATGCTGCTGTCTGCTTTTTATATGTAATCCCGTTTCCAACGAAATCTTCAAAGCCAGACAAATATCCACTTGCAGATTCCACAAAAAGAGTGTTTGAAAACTGCTCTCTCAAAAGAAAGGTTCAACTCTTTTAGCTGAGTAGATACATCATGAAAAAGTTTATGATATTGCTTTCTATGTAGCTTTTATTGGAAGATATTTCCTTTTTCACCGTAGTCCTGAGAGCGCTCCAAATGTCCACTTCCAGATACTACAAAAAGAGTGTTTCAAACCTGCTCTATGAAAGGGACTGTTCAACACTGTGACTTCAATTGAAACATCCCAAAGAAGCTTCTGAGAATGCTGCTGTCTGCTTTGTATAATTAATCCCGTTTCCAACGAAATCCTCAAAGCTATCCAAATATCCTCTTGCAGATATTACAAAAAGAGTGTTTCAAAACTGCTCTATCAAAAGAAAGCTTCAACACTGTTAGTTGAGGGCGCACATCACAAATAAGTTTCTGAGAATGCTGCTGTCTGCTTTTTATATGTAATCCCGTTTCCAACGAAATCCTCAAAGCTAGACAAATATCCACTTGCAGATTCCACAAAAAGAGTGTTTCAAAACTGCTCTATCAAAAGAAAGCTTCAACACTGTTAGTTGAGGGCGCACATCACAAATAAGTTTCTGAGAATGCTTCTGTCTAGTTTTCAGGGGAAGATATTTCCTTTTTCACCATAGGCCTGAAAGCGCTCGAAATGTCCACATCCAGATACTACAAAAAGAGTGTTTCAAACCTGCTCTATGAAAGGGACTGTTCAACACTGTGACTTCAATTGAAACATCCCAATGAAGCTTCTGAGAATGCTTCTGTCTAGAGTTTATATGAAGACAATCCCGTTTCCAACGAAATCCTCAAAGCTATCCAAATATCCTCCTGCAGATTTTACAAAAAGAGTGTTTCAAAACTGCTCTATCAAAAGAAAGCTTCAACACTGTTAGTTGAGGGCGCACATCACAAATAAGATTCTGAGAATGCTTCTGTCTAGTTTTCAGGGGAAGATATTTCCTTTTTCACAATAGGCCTGAAAGCGCTCCAAATGTCCACATCCAGATACTACAAAAAGAGTGTTTCAAACCTGCTCTATGAAAGGGAATGTTCAACTCTGTGACTTGAATGCAAACTTCACAAAGAAGTTACTGGGAATGCTGCTGTCTGCTTTTTATATGTAATCCCGTTTCCAACGAAATCCTCAAAGCTAGACAAATATCCACTTTCAGATTACACAAAAAGAGTGTTTCAAAACTGCTCTCTCAAAAGAAAGGTTCAACTCTGTTAGCTGAGTAGATACATCATGAAAAAGTTTCTGACATTGCTTCTATCTAGCTTTTACTGGAAGATATTTCCTTTTCCACTGTAGTCCTGAGAACGCTCCAAATGTCCACCTCCAGATACTACAAAAAGAGTGTTTCAAACCTGCTCTATGAAAGGGACTGTTCAACACTGTGACTTCAATTGAAACATCCCAATGAAGCTTCTGAGAATGCTTCTGTCTAGATTCTATATGAAGACAATCCCGTTTCCAACGAAATCCTCAAAGCTATCCAAATATCCTCTTGCAGATTTTACAAAAAGAGTGTTTCAAAACTGCTCTATCAAAAGAAAAGTTCCACACTGTTAGTTGAGGGCGCACATCACAAATAAGTTTGCTGAGAATGCTGCTGTCTGCTTTTTATATGTAATCCCGTTTCCAACGAAATCCTCAAAGCTAGACAAATATCCACTTGCAGATTCCACAAAAAGAGTGTTTCAAAACTGCTCTATCAAAAGAATGCTTCAACACTGTTAGTTGAGGGCGCACATCACAAATAAGTTTCTGAGAATGCTTCTGTCTAGTTTTCAGGGGAAGATATTTCCTTTTTCACCATAGGCCTGAAAGCGTTCCAAATGTCCACATCCAGATACTACAAAAAGAGTGTTTCAAACCTGCTCTATGAAAGGGACTGTTCAACACTGTGACTTCAATTGAAACGTCCCAATGAAGCATCTGAGAATGCTTCTGTCTAGAATTTATATGAAGACAATCCCGTTTCCAAAGAAATCCTCAAAGCTATCCAAATATCCTCTAGCAGATTTTACAAAAAGAGTGTTTCAAAACTGCTCTATCAAAAGAAAGCTTCAACACTGTTAGTTGAGGGCGCACATCACAAATAAAATTCTGAGAATGCTTCTGTCTAGTTTTCAGGGGAAGATATTTCCTTTTTCACCTTATGCCTGAAAGCGCTGCAAATGTCCACATCCAGATACTACAAAAAGAGTGTTTCAAACCTGCTCTATGAAAGGGAATGTTCAACTCTGTGACTTGAATGGAAACATCACAAAGAAGTTTCTGGGAATGCTGCTGTCTGCTTTTTATATGTAATCCCGTTTCCAACGAAATCCTCAAAGCTAGACAAATATCCACTTGCAGATTCCACAAAAAGAGTGTTTCAAAACTGCTCTCTCAAAGGAAAGGTTCAACTCTGTTAGCTGAGTAGATACATCATGAAAAAGTTTCTGACATTGCTTTCTGTGTAGCTTTTATTGGAAGATATTTCCTTTTTCACCATAATCCTGAGAGCGCTCAAAATGTCCACTTCCAGATACTACAAAAAGAGTGTTTCAAACCTGTTCTATGAAAGGAACTGTTCAACACTGTGACTTCAATTGAAACATCCCAATGAAGCTTCTGAGAATGCTTCTGTCTAGAGTTTATATGAAGACAATCCCGTTTCCAACGAAATCCTCAAAGCTATCCAAATATCCTCTTGCAGATATTACAAAAAGAGTGTTTCAAAACTGCTCTATCAAAAGAAAGGTTCAACACTGTTAGTTGAGGGCGCACATCACAAATAAGTTTACTGAGAATGCTGCTGTCTGCTTTTTATATGTAATCCCGTTTCCAACGAAATCCTCAAAGCTAGACAAATATCCACTTGCAGATTCCACAAAAAGAGTGTTTCAAAACTGCTCTATCAAAAGAAAGCTTCAACACTGTTAGTTGAGGGCGCACATCACAAATAAGTTTCTGAGAATGCTTCTGTCTAGTTTTCAGGGGAAGATATTTCCTTTTAAACCATAGGCCTGAAAGCGCTCCAAATGTCCACATCCAGATACTACAAAAAGAGTGTTTCAAACCTGCTCTATGAAAGGGACTGTTCAACACTGTGACTTCAATTGAAACATCCCAATGACGCTTCTGAGAATGCTTCTGTCTAGAGTTTATATGAAGACAATCCCGTTTTCAACGAAATCCTCAAAGCTATCCAAATATCCTCTTGCAGATTTTACAAAAAGAGTGTTTCAAAACTGCTCTATCAAAAGAAAGGTTCAACACTGTTAGTTGAGGGCGCACATCACAAATAAGTTTCTGAGAATGCTTCTGTCTAGTTTTCAGGGGAAGATATTTCCTTTTTCACCATAGGCCTGAAAGCGCTCCAAATGTCCACATCCAGATACTACAAAAAGAGTGTTTCAAACCTGCTCTATGAAAGGGAATGTTCAACTCTGTGACTTGAATGCAAACGTCACAAAGAAGTTTCTGGGAATGCTGCTGTCTGCTTTCTATATATAATCCCGTTTCCAACGAAATCCTCAAAGGTAGACAAATATCCACTTGCAGATTCCACAAAAAGAGTGTTTCAAAACTGCTCTCTCAAAAGAAAGGTTCAACTCTGTTAGCTGAGTAGATACATCATGAAAAAGTTTCTGACATTGCTTCTATGCAGCTTTTATTGGAAGATATTTCCTTTTTCACCGTAGTCCTGAGAGCGCTCCAAATGTCCACTTCCAGATACTACAAAAAGAGTGTTTCAAACCTGCTCTATGAAAGGGACTGTTCAACACTGTGACTTCAATTGAAACATCCCAATGAAGCTTCTGAGAATGCTTCTGTCTAGAGTTTATATGAAGAGAATCCCGTTTCCAATGAAATCCTCAAAGCTATCCAAATATCCTCTTGCAGATTTTACAAAAAGACTGTTTCAAAACTGCTCTATCAAAAGAAAGCTTCAACACTGTTAGCTGTGGGCGCACATCACAAATAAGATTCTGAGAATGCTGCTGTCTGCTTTTTATATGTAATCCCGTTTCCAACGAAATCCTCAAAGCTATCCAAATATCCTCTTGCAGATATTACAAAAAGAGTGTTTCAAAACTGCTCTATCAAAAGAAAGGTTCAACACTGTTAGTTGAGGGCGCACATCACAAATAAGTTTCTGAGAATGCTTCTGTCTAGTTTTCAGGGGAAGATATTTCCTTTTAAACCATAGGCCTGAAAGCGCTCCAAATGTCCACATCCAGATACTACAAAAAGAGTGTTTCAAACCTGCTCTATGAAAGGGACTGTTCAACACTGTGACTTCAATTGAAATATCCCAATGACGCTTCTGAGAATGCTTCTGTCTAGATTTTGTATGAAGATATTCCCGTTTCCAACGAAATCCTCAAAGCTATCCAAATATCCACTTGCAGATTCTACAAAAAGAGTGTTTCAAAACTGCTCTATCAAAAGAAAGGGTCAACTCTGTTAGTTGAGTACACACATCACAAACAAGTTTCTGAGAATGCTTCTGTATAGTTTTCAGGGGAAGATATTTCCTTTTTCACCATAGGCCTGAAAGCGCTCCAAATGTCCACATCCAGATACTACAAAAAGAGTGTTTCAAACCTGCTCTATGAAAGGGAATGTTCAACTCTGTGACTTGAATGCAAATTTCACAAAGAAGTTTCTGGGAATGCTGCTGTCTGCTTTTTATATGTAATCCCGTTTCCAACGAAATCCTCAAAGCTAGACAAATATCCACTTTCAGATTACACAAAAAGAGTGTTTCAAAACTGCTCTCTCAAAAGAAAGGTTCAACTCTGTTAGCTGAGTAGATACATCATGAAAAAGTTTCTGACATTGCTTCTATCTAGCTTTTATTGGAAGATATTTCCTTTTTCACCGTAGTCCTGAGAGCGCTCCAAATGTCCACTTCCAGATACTACAAAAAGAGTGTTTCAAACCTGCTCTATGAAAGGGACTGTTCAACACTGTGACTTCAATTGAAACATCCCAATGAAGCTTCTGAGAATGCTTCTGTCTAGATTTTATATGAAGACAATCCCGTTTACAACGAAATCCTCAAAGCTATCCAAATATCCTCTTGCAGATTTTACAAAAAGAGTGTTTCAAAACTGCTCTATCAAAAGAAAAGTTCAACACTGTTAGTTGAGGGCGCACATCACAAATAAGATTCTGAGAATGCTGCTGTCGGCTTTTTATAATTAATCCCGTTTCCAACGAAATCATCAAAGCTATCCAAATATCCTCTTGCAGATATTACAAAAAGAGTGTTTCAAAACTGCTCTATCAAAAGAAAGGTTCAACACCGTTAGTTGAGGGCGCACATCACAAATAAGTTTCTGAGAATGCTTCTGTCTAGTTTTCAGGGGAAGATATTTCCTTTTTCACCATAGGCCTGAAAGCGCTCCAAATGTCCACATCCAGATACTACAAAAAGAGTGTTTCAAACCTGCTCTATGAAAGGGACTGTTCAACACTGTGACTTCAATTGAAACATCCCAATGAAGCTTCTGAGAATGCTTCTGTCTAGAGTTTATATGAAGACAATCCCGTTTCCAACGAAATCCTCAAAGCTATCCAAATATCCTCTTGCAGATTTTACAAAAAGAGTGTTTCAAAACTGCTCTATCAAAAGAAAGCTTCAACACTGTTAGTTGAGAGCGCATATCACAAATAAGGTTCTGAGAATGCTTCTGTCTAGTTTTCAGGGGAAGATATTTCCTTTTTCACCATAGGCCTGAAAGCGCTCCAAATGTCCACATCCAGATACTACAAAAACAGTGTTTCAAACCTGCTCTATGAAAGGGAATGTTCAACTCTGTGACTTGAATGCAAACATCACAAAGAAGTTACTGGGAATGCTGCTGTCTGCTTTTTATATGTAATCCCGTTTCCAACGAAATCCTCAAAGCTAGACAAATATCCACTTGCAGATTCAACAAAAAGAGTGTTTCAAAACTGCTCTCTCAAAGGAAAGGTTCAACTCTGTTAGCTGAGTAGATACATCATGAAAAAGTTTCTGACATTGCTTCTATCTAGCTTTTATTGGAAGATATTTCCTTTTTCACCGTAGTCCTGAGAGCGCTCCAAATGTCCACTTCCAGATACTACAAAATGAGTTTTTCAAACCTGCTCTATGAAAGGGACTGTTCAACACTGTGACTTCAATTGAAACATCCCAATGAAGCTTCTGAGAATGCTGCTGTCTGCTTTGTATAATTAATCCCGTTTCCAACGAAATCCTCAAAGCTATCCAAATATCCTCTTGCAGATATTACAAAAAGAGTGTTTCAAAACTGCTCTATCAAAAGAAAGCTTCAACACTGTTAGTTGAGGGCGCACATCACAAATAAGTTTCTGAGAATGCTGCTGTCTGCTTTTTATATGTAATCCCGTTTCCAACGAAATCCTCAAAGCTAGACAAATATCCACTTGCAGATTCCACAAAAAGAGTGTTTCAAAACTGCTCTATCAAAAGAAAGCTTCAACACTGTTAGTTGAGGGCGCACATCACAAATAAGTTTCTGAGAATGCTTCTGTCTAGTTTTCAGGGGAAGATATTTCCTTTTAAATCATAGGCCTGAAAGCGCTCCAAATGTCCACATCCAGATACTACAAAAAGAGTGTTTCAAATCTGCTCTATGAAAGGGACTGTTCAACACTGTGACTTCAATTGAAACATCCCAATGAAGCTTCTGAGAATGCTTCTGTCTAGAGTTTATATGAAGACAATCCCGTTTCCAACGAAATCCTCAAAGCTATCCAAATATCCTCTTGCAGATATTACAAAAAGAGTGTTTCAAAACTGCTCTATCAAAAGAAAGGTTCAACACTGTTAGTTGAGGGCGCACATCACAAATAAGTTTCTGAGAATGCTTCTGTCTAGTTTTCAGGGGAAGATATTTCCTTTTTCACCATAGGCCTGAAAGCGCTCCAAATGTCCACCTCCAGATACTACAAAAAGAGAGTTTCAAACCTGCTCTATGAAAGGGAATGTTCAACTCTGTGACTTGAATGCAAACATCACAAAGAAGTTTCTGGGAATGCTTGCTGTCTGCTTTTTATATGTAATCCCGTTTCCAACGAAATCCTCAAAGCTAGACAAATATCCACTTGCAGATTCCACAAAAACAGTGTTTCAAAACTGCTCTCTCAAAGGAAAGGTTCAACTCTGTTAGCTGAGTAGATACATCATGAAAAAGTTTCTGACATTGCTTCTATCTAGCTTTTATTGGAAGATATTTCCTTTATCACCGTATTCCTGAGATCTCTCCAAATGTCCACTTCCAGATACTACAAAAAGAGTGTTTCAAACCTGCTCTATGAAAGGGACTGTTCAACACTGTGACTTCAATTGAAACATCCCAATGAAGCTTCTGAGAATGCTTCTTTCTAGAGTTTATATGAAGACAATCCCGTTTCCAACGAAATCCTCAAAGCTATCCAAATATTCTCTTGCAGATATTACAAAAAGAGTGTTTCAAAACTGCTCTATCAAAATAAAGCTTCAACACTGTTAGTTGAGGGCGCACATCACAAATAAGTTTCTGAGAATGCTGCTGTCTGCTTTTTATATGTAATCCCGTTTCCAACGAAATCCTCAAAGCTAGACAAATATCCACTTGCAGATTCCACAAAAAGAGTGTTTCAAAACTGCTCTATCAAAAGAATGCTTCAACACTGTTAGTTGAAGGCGCACATCACAAATAAGTTTCTGAGAATGCTTCTGTCTAGTTTTCAGGGGAAGATATTTCCTTTTAAACCATAGGCCTGAAAGCGCTCCAAATGTCCACATCCAGATACTACAAAAAGAGTGTTTCAAACCTGCTCTATGAAAGGGACTGTTCAACACTGTGACTTCAATTGAAATATCCCAATGACGCTTCTGAGAATGCTTCTGTCTAGAGTTTATATGAAGACAATCGCGTTTCCAACGAAATCCTCAAAGCTATCCAAATATCCTCTTGCAGATATTACAAAAAGAGTGTTTCAAAACTGCTCTATCAAAAGAAAGCTTCAACACTGTTAGTTGAGGGCGCACATCACAAATAAGTTTCTGAGAATGCTTCTGTCTAGTTTTCAGGGGAAGATATTTCCTTTTTCACCATAGGCCTGAAAGCGCTCCAAATGTCCACATCCAGATACTTCAAAAAGAGTGTTTCAAACCTGCTCTATGAAAGGGAATGTTCAACTCTGTGACTTGAATGCAAACATCACAAAGAAGTTACTGGGAATGCTGCTGTCTGCTTTTTATATGTAATCCCGTTTCCAACGAAATCCTCAAAGCTAGACAAATATCCACTTGCAGATTCCACAAAAAGAGTGTTTCAAAACTGCTCTCTCAAAGGAAAGTTTCAACTCTGTTAGCTGAGTAGATACATCATGAAAAAGTTTCTGACATTGCTTCTATGTAGCTTTTATTGGAAGATATTTCCTTTTTCACCGTAGTCCTGAGAGCGCTCCAAATGTCCACTTCCAGATACTACAAAAAGAGTGTTTGAAACCTGTTCTATGAAAGGAACTGTTCAACACTGTGACTTCAATTGAAACATCCCAATGAAGCTTCTGAGAATGTTTCTGTCTAGAGTTTATATGAAGACAATCCCGTTTCCAACGAAATCCTCAAAGCTATCCAAATATCCTCTTGCAGATATTACAAAAAGAGTGTTTCAAAACTGCTCTATCAAAAGAAAGGTTCAACACTGTTAGTTGAGGGCGCACATCACAAATAAGTTTACTGAGAATGCTGCTGTCTGCTTTTTATATGTAATCCCGTTTCCAACGAAATCCTCAAAGCTAGACAAATATCCACTTGCAGATTCCACAAAAAGAGTGTTTCAAAACTGCTCTATCAAAAGAATGCTTCAACACTGTTAGTTGAGGGCGCACATCACAAATAAGTTTCTGAGAATGCTTCTGTCTAGTTTTCAGGGGAAGATATTTCCTTTTAAACCATAGGCCTGAAAGCGCTCCAAATGTCCACATCCAGATACTACAAAAAGAGTGTTTCAAACCTGCTCTATGAAAGGGACTGTTCAACACTGTAACTTCAATTGAAACATCCCAATGAAGCTTCTGAGAATGCTTCTGTATAGAGTTTATATGAAGACAATCCCGTTTCCAACGAAATCCTCAAAGCTATCCAAATATCCTCTTGCAGATTTTACAAAAAGAGTGTTTCAAAACTGCTCTATCAAAAGAAAGCTTCAACACTGTTAGTTGAGGGCGCACATCACAAATAAGATTCTGAGAATCCTTCTGTCTAGTTTTCAGGGGAAGATATTTCCTTTTTCACCATAGGCCTGAGAGCGCTCCTAATGTCCACATCCAGATACTACAAAAAGAGTGTTTCAAACCTGCTCTATGAAACGGAATGTTCAACTCTGTGACTTGAATGCAAACATCACAAAGAAGTTTCTGGGAATGCTGCTGTCTGCTTTTTATATGTAATCCCGTTTCCAACGAAATCCTCAAAGCTAGACAAATATCCACTTGCAGATTCCACAAAAAGAGTGTTTCAAAACTGCTCTCTCAAAAGAAAGGTTCAACTCTGTTAGCTGAGTAGATACATCATGAAAAAGTTTCTGACATTGCTTCTATCTAGCTTTTATTGGAAGATATTTCCTTTTTCACCGTAGTCCTGAGAACGCTCCAAATGTCCACTTCCAGATGCTACAAAAAGAGTGTTTCAAACCTGCTCTATGAAAGGGACTGTTCAACACTGTGACTTCAATTGAAACATCCCAATGAAGCTTCTGAGAATGCATCTTTCTAGAGTTTATATGAAGACAATCCCGTTTCCAACGAAATCCTCAAAGCTATCCAAATATTCTCTTGCAGATATTACAAAAAGAGTGTTTCAAAACTGCTCTATCAAAATAAAGCTTCAACACTGTTAGTTGAGGGCGCACATCACAAATAAGTTTCTGAGAATGCTGCTGTCTGCTTTTCATATGTAATCCCGTTTCCAACGAAATCCTCAAAGCTAGACAAATATCCACTTGCAGATTCCACAAAAAGAGTGTTTCAAAACTGCTCTATCAAAAGAATGCTTCAACACTGTTAGTTGAGGGCGCACATCACAAATAAGTTTCTGAGAATGCTTCTGTCTAGTTTTCAGGGGAAGATATTTCCTTTTTCACCATAGGCCTGAAAGCGCTCCAAATGTCCACATCCAGATACTACAAAAAGAGTGTTTCAAACCTGCTCTATGAAAGGGACTGTTCAACACTGTGACTTCAATTGAAACATCCCAATGACGCTTCTGAGAATGCTTCTGTCTAGATTCTATATGAAGACAATGCCGTTTCCAACGAAATCCTCAAAGCTATCCAAATATCCTCTTGCGGATTTTACAAAAAGAGTGTATCAAAACTGCTCTATCAAAAGAAAGCTTCAACACTGTTAGTTGAGGGCGCACATGACAAATAAGTTTCTGAGAATGCTTCTATCTAGCTTTTATTGGAAAATATTTCCTTTTTCACCATACGCCTGAAAGCGCTCCAAATGTCCACATCCAGATACTACAAAAAAAGTGTTTCAAACCTGCTCTATGAAAGGGAATGTTCAACTCTGTGACTTGAATGCAAACATCACAAAGAAGTTACTGGGAATGCTGCTGTCTGCTTTTTATATGTAATCCCGTTTCCAACGAAATCCTCAAAGCTAAACAAATATCCACTTGCAGATTCCACCAAAAGAGTGTTTCAAAACTGCTGTCTCAAAAGAAAGGTTCAACTCTGTTAGCTGAGTAGATACATCATGAACAATTTTCTGACATTGCTTCTATCTAGCTTTTATTGGAAGATATTTCCTTTATCACCGTATTCCTGAGATCTCTCCAAATGTCCACTTCCAGATACTACAAAAAGAGTGTTTCAAACCTGCTCTATGAAAGGGACTGTTCAACACTGTGACTTCAATTGAAACATCCCAATGAAGCTTCTGAGAATGCTTCTGTCTAGAGTTTATATGAAGACAATCCCGTTTCCAACGAAATCCTCAAAGCTATCCAAATATCCTCTTGCAGATATTACAAAAAGAGTGTTTCAAAACTGCTCTATCAAAAGAAAGGTTCAACACTGTTAGTTGAGGGCGCACATCACAAATAAGTTTACTGAGAATGCTGCTGTCTGCTTTTTATATGTAATCCCGTTTCCAACGAAATCCTCAAAGCTAGACAAATATCCACTTGCAGATTCCACAAAAAGAGTGTTTCAAAACTGCTCTATCAAAAGAATGCTTCAACACTGTTAGTTGAGGGAGCACATCACAAATAAGTTTCTGAGAATGCTTCTGTCTAGTTTTCAGGGGAAGATATTTCCTTTTTCACCTTATGCCTGAAAGCGCTGCAAATGTCCACATCCAGATACTACAAAAAGAGTGTTTCAAACCTGCTCTATCAAAGGGACTGTTCAACACTGTGACTTCAATTGAAACATCCCAATGAAGCTTACTGAGAATGCTTCGGTCTAGAGTTTATATGAAGACAATCCCGTTTCCAACGAAATCCTCAAAGCTATCCAAATATCCTCTTGCAGATATTACAAAAAGAGTGTTTCAAAACTGCTCTATCAAAAGAAAGGTTCAACACTGTTAGTTGAGGGCGCACATCACAAATAAGTTTCTGAGAATGCTTCTGTCTAGTTTTCAGGGGAAGATATTTCCTTTTTCACCATAGGCCTGAAAGCGCTCCAAATGTCCACAACCAGATACTTCAAAAAGAGTGTTTCAAACCTGCTCTATGAAAGGGAATGTTCAACTCTGTGACTTGAATGCAAACATCACAAAGAAGTTACTGGGAATGCTGCTGTCTGCTTTGTATATGTAATCCCGTTTCCAACGAAATCCTCAAAGCTAGACAAATATCCACTTGCAGATTCCACAAAAAGAGTGTTTCAAAACTGCTCTCTCAAAAGAAAGGTTCAACTCTGTTAGCTGAGTAGATACATCATGAAAAAGTTTCTGACATTGCTTCTATGTAGCTTTTATTGGAAGATATTTCCTTTTTCACCATAGTCCTGAGAGCCCTCCAAATGTCCACTTCCAGATACTACAAAAAGAGTGTTTCAAACCTGTTCTATGAAAGGAACTGTTCAACACTGTGACTTCAATTGAAACATGCCAATGAAGCTTCTGAGAATGCTGCTGTCTGCTTTGTATAATTAATCCCGTTTCCAACGAAATCCTCAAAGCTATCCAAATATCCTCTTGCAGATATTACAAAAAGAGTGTTTCAAAACTGCTCTATCAAAAGAAAGCTTCAACACTGTTAGTTGAGGGCGCACATCACAAATAAGTTTCTGAGAATGCTGCTGTCTGCTTTTTTTATGTAATCCCGTTTCCAATGAAATCCTCAAAGCTAGACAAATATCCACTTGCAGATTCCACAAAAAGAGTGTTTCAAAACTGCTCTATCAAAAGAAAGCTTCAACACTGTTAGTTGAGGGCGCAAATCACAAATAAGTTTCTGAGAATGCTTCTGTCTAGTTTTCAGGGGAAGATATTTCCTTTTTCACCTTAGGCCTGAAAGCGCTGCAAATGTCCACATCCAGATACTACAAAAAGAGTGTTTCAAACCTGCTCTATGAAAGGGAATGTTCAACTCTGTGACTTGAATGCAAACATCACAAAGAAGTTTCTGGGAATGCTGCTGTCTGCTTTTTATATGTAATCCCGTTTCCAACGAAATCCTCAAAGCTAGACAAATATCCACTTGGAGATTCCACAAAAAGAGTGTTTCAAAACTGCTCTCTCAAAGGAAGGTTCAACTCTGTTAGCTGAGTAGATACATCATGAAAAAGTTTCTGACATTGCTTCTATGTAGCTTTTATTGGAAGATATTTCCTTTTTCACGAGAGTCCTGAGAGCGCTCCAAATGTCCACTTCCAGATACTACAAAATGAGTGTTTCAAACCTGTTCTATGAAAGGAACTGTTCAACACTGTGACTTCAATTGAAACATACCAATGAAGCTTCTGAGAATGCTTATGTCTAGAGTTTATATGAAGACAATCCCGTTTCCAACGAAATCCTGAAAGCTATCCAAATATCCTCTTGCAGATATTACAAAAAGAGTGTTTCAAAACTGCTCTATCAAAAGAAAGCTTCAACACTGTTAGTTGAGGGCGCCCATCACAAATAAGTTTCGGAGAATGCTTAGCTGTCTGCTTTTTATATGTAATCCCGTTTCCAACGAAATCCTCAAAGCTAGACAAATATCCACTTGCAGATTCCACAAAAAGAGTGTTTCAAAACTGCTCTATCAAAAGAATGCTTCAACACTCTTACTTGAGGGCGCACATCACAAATAAGTTTCTGAGAATGCTTCTGTCTAGTTTTCAGGGGAAGATATTTCCTTTTTCACCATAGGCCTGAAAGCGCTCGAAATGTCCACATCCAGATACTACAAAAAGAGTGTTTCAAACCTGCTCTATGAAAGGGACTGTTCAACACTGTGACTTCAATTGAAACATCCCAATGAAGCTTCTGAGAATGCTTCTGTCTAGATTCTATATGAAGACAATCCCGTTTCCAACGAAATCCTCAAAGCTATCCAAATATCCTCTTGCGGATTTTACAAAAAGAGTGTATCAAAACTGCTCTATCAAAAGAAAGGTTCAACACTGTTAGTTGAGGGCGCACATGACAAATAAGTTTCTGAGAATGCTTCTGTCTAGTTTTCAGGGGAAGATATTTCCTTTTTCACCATAGGCCTGAAAGCGCTCCAAATGTCCACATCCAGATACTACAAAAAGAGTGTTTCAAACCTGCTCTATGAAACGGACTGTTCAAGTCTGTGACTTCAATGCAAATATCACAAAGAAGTTTCTGGGAATGCTGCTGTCTGCTTTTTATATGTAATACCATTTACAACGCAATCCTCAAAACTAGACAAATATCCACTTGCAGATTCCACAAAAAGAGTGTTTCAAAACTACTCTCTCCAAAGAAAGGTTCAACTCTGTTAGCTGAGTAGATACATCATGAAAAATTTTCTGACATTTCTTCTATGTAGCTTTTATTGGAAGATATTTCCTTTTTCACCATAGTCCTGAGAGTGCTCCAAATGTCCACTTCCAGATACTACAAAAAGAGTGTTTCAAACCTGTTCTATGAAAGGAACTGTTCAACACTGTGACTTCAATTGAAACATCCCAATGAAGCTTCTGAGAATGCTTCTGTCTAGAGTTTATATGAAGACAATCCCGTTTCCAACGAAATCCTCAAAGCTATCCTAATATCCTCTTGCAGATATTACAAAAAGAGTGTTTCAAAACTGCTCTATCAAAAGAAAGCTTCAACACTGTTAGTTGAGGGCGCACATCACAAATAAGTTTCTGAGAATGCTGCTGTCTGCTTTTTATAATTAATCCCGTTTCCAACGAAATCCTCAAAGCTATCCAAATATCCTCTTGCAGATATTACAAAAAGAGTGTTTCAAAACTGCTCTATCAAAAGAAAGCTTCAACACTGTTAGTTGAGGGCGCACATCACAAATAAGTGTCTGAGAATGCTTCTGTCTAGTTTTCAGGGGAAGATATTTCCTTTTTCACCTTATGCCTGAAAGCGCTCCAAATGTCCACATCCAGATTCTACAAAAAGAGTGTTTCAAACCTGCTCTATGAAAGGGACTGTTCAACACTGTGACTTCAATTGAAACATCCCAATGAAGCTTCTGAGAATGCTTCTGTCTAGAGTTTATATGAAGACAATCCCGTTTCCAACGAAATCCTCAAAGCTATCCAAATATCCTCTTGCAGATTTTACAAAAAGAGTGTTTCAAAACTGCTCTATCAAAAGAAAGCTTCAACACTGTTAGTTGAGGGCGCACATCACAAATAAGATTCTGAGAATGCTTCTGTCTAGTTTTCAGGGGAAGATATTTCCTTTTTCACCATAGGCCTGAAAGCGCTCCAAATGTCCACATCCAGATACTACAAAAAGAGTGTTTCAAACCTGCACTATGAAAGGGAATGTTCAACTCTGTGACTGGAATGCAAACATCACAAAGAAGATTCTGGGAATGCTGCTGTCTGCTTTTTATATGTAATCCCGTTTCCAACGAAATCCTCAAAGCTAGACAAATATCCACTTGCAGATTCCACAAAAAGAGTGTTTCAAAACTGCTCTCTCAAAGGAAAGGTTCAACTCTGTTAGCTGAGTAGATACATCATGAAAAAGTTTCTGACATTGTTTCTATCTAGCTTTTATTGGAAGATATTTCCTTTATCACCGTATTCCTGAGATCTCTCCAAATGTCCACTTCCAGATACTACAAAAAGAGTGTTTCAAACCTGCTCTATGAAAGGGACTGTTCAACACTGTGACTTCAATTGAAACATCCCAATGAAGCTTCTGAGAATGCTTCTGTCTAGAGTTTATATGAAGACAATCCCGTTTCCAACGAAATCCTCAAAGCTATCCAAATATCCTCTTGCAGATATTACAAAAAGAGTGTTTCAAAACTGCTCTATCAAAAGAAAGGTTCAACACTGTTAGTTGAGGGCGCACATCACAAATAAGTTTACTGAGAATGCTGCTGTCTGCTATTTATATGTAATCCCGTTTCCAACGAAATCCTCAAAGCTAGACAAATATCCACTTGCAGATTCCACAAAAAGAGTGTTTCAAAACTGCTCTATCAAAAGAATGCTTCAACACTGTTAGTTGAAGGCGCACATCACAAATAAGTTTCTGAGAATGCTTCTGTCTAGTTTTCAGGGGAAGATATTTCCTTTTAAACCATAGGACTGAAAGCGCTCCAAATGTCCACATCCAGATACTACAAAAAGAGTGTTTCAAACCTGCTCTATGAAAGGGACTGTTCAACACTGTGACTTCAATTGAAACATCCCAATGAAGCTTCTGAGAATGCTTCTGTCTAGATTTTATATGAAGACAATCCCGTTTCCAACGAAATCCTCAAAGCTATCCAAATATCCTCTTGCAGATTTTACAAAAAGAGTGTTTCAAAACTGCTCTATCAAAAGAAAAGTTCAACACTGTTAGTTGAGGGCGCACATCACAAATAAGTTTCTGAGAATGCTTTCTGTCTAGTTTTCAGGGGAAGATATTTCCTTTTTCACCATAGGCCTGAAAGCGCTCCAAATGTCCACATCCAGATACTACAAAAAGAGTGTTTCAAACCTGCTCTATGAAAGGGAATGTTCAACTCTGTGACTTGAATGCAAACATCAGAAAGAAGTTTCTGGGAATGCTTCTGTCTAGAGTTTATATGAAGACAATCCCGTTTCCAACGAAATCCTCAAAGCTAGACAAATATCCACTTGCAGATTCCACAAAAAGAGTGTTTCAAAACTGCTCTCTCAAAGGAAGGTTCAACTCTGTTAGCTGAGTAGATACATCATGAAAAAGTTTCTGACATTGCTTCTATCTAGCTTTTATTGGAAGATACTTCCTTTTTCACCGCAGTCCTGAGAGCGCTCCAAATGTCCACTTCCAGATACTACAAAAAGAGTGTTTCAAACCTGCTCTATGAAAGGGACTGTTCAACACTGTGACTTCAATTGAAACATCCCAATGAAGCTTCTGAGAATGCTTATGTCTAGAGTTTATATGAAGACAATCCCGTTTCCAACGAAATCCTGAAAGCTATCCAAATATCCTCTTGCAGATATTACAAAAAGAGTGTTTCAAAACTGCTCTATCAAAAGAAAGCTTCAACACTGTTAGTTGAGGGCGCCCATCACAAATAAGTTTCGGAGAATGCTTAGCTGTAGGCTTTTTATAATTAATCCCGTTTCCAACGAAATCCTCAAAGCTATCCAAATATCCTCTTGCAGATATTACAAAAAGAGTGTTTCAAAACTGCTCTATCAAAAGAAAGCTTCAACACTGTTAGTTGAGGGCGCACATCACAAATAAGTTTCTGAGAATGCTTCTGTCTAGTTTTCAGGGGAAGATATTTCCTTTTAAACCATAGGCCTGAAAGCGCTCAAATGTCCACATCCAGATACTACAAAAAGAGTGTTTCAAACCTGCTCTATGAAAGGGACTGTTCAACATTGTGACTTCAATTGAAACATCCCCATGATGCTTCTGAGAATGCTACTGTCCAGGGTTAATATGAAGACAATCCCGTTTCCAACGAAATCCTCAAAGCTATCCAAATATCCTCTTGCAGATTTTACGAAAAGAGTGTTTCAAAACTACTCTATTAACAGAAAGGTTCAACATTGTTAGTTGAGGGCGCACATCACAAATAAGTTTCTGAGAATGCTTCTGTCTAGTTTTCAGGGGAAGATATTTCCTTTTTCACCATAGGCCTGAAAGCGCTCCAAATGTCCACATCCAGATACTACAAAAAGAGTGTTTCAAACCTGCTCTATGAAAGGGAATGTTCAACTTTGTGACTTGAATGCAAACATCACAAAGAAGTTACTGGGAATGCTGCTGTCTGCTTTTTATATGTAATCCCGTTTCCAACGAAATCCTCAAAGCTAGACAAATATCCACTTCCAGATTCCACAAAAAGACTGTTTCAAAACTGCTGTCTCAAAAGAAAGGTTCAACTCTGTTAGCTGAGTAGATACATCATGAAAAAGTTTCTGACATTGCTTCTATCTAGCTTTTATTGGAAGATATTTCCTTTATCACCGTAGTCCTGAGAGCGCTCCAAATGTCCACTTCCAGATACTACAAAAAGAGTGTTTCAAACCTGCTCTATGAAAGGGACTGTTCAACACTGTGACTTCAATTGAAACATCCCAATGAAGCTTCTGAGAATGCTAGCTGTCTGCTTTGTATAATTAATCCCGTTTCCAACGAAATCCTCAAAGCTATCCAAATATCCTCTTGCAGATATTACAAAAAGAGTGTTTCAAAACTGCTCTATCAAAAGAAAGCTTCAACACTGTTAGTTGAGGGCGCACATCACAAATAAGTTTCTGAGAATGCTGCTGTCTGCTTTTTATATGTAATCCCGTTTCCAACGAAATCCTCAAAGCTAGACAAATATCCACTTGCAGATTCCACAAAAAGAGTGTTTCAAAACTGCTCTATCAAAAGAAAGCTTCAACACTGTTAGTTGAGGGCGCACATCACAAATAAGTTTCTGAGAATGCTTCTGTCTAGTTTTCAGGGGAAGATATTTCCTTTTTCACCGTAGGCCTGAAAGCGCTCCAAATGTCCACATCCAGATACTACAAAAAGAGTGTTTCAAACCTGTTCTATGAAAGGGACTGTTCAACACTGTGACTTCAATTGAAACATCCCAATGAAGCTTCTGAGAATGCTATTGTCTAGAGTTTATATGAAGACAATCCCGTTTCCAACGAAATACTCAAAGCTATCCAAATATCCTCTTGCAGATTTTACAAAAAGAGTGTTTCAAAACTACTCTATCAAAAGAAAGGTTCAACACTGTTAGTTGACGGCGCACATCACAAATAAGTTTCTGAGAATGCTTCTGTCTAGTTTTCAGGGGAAGATATTTCCTTTTTCACCATAGGCCTGAGAGCGCTCCAAATGTCCACATCCAGATACTACAAAAAGAGTGTTTCAAACCTGCTCTATGAAAGGGAATGTTCAACTCTGTGACTTGAATGCAAACATCACAAAGAAGTTTCTGGGAATGCTGCTGTCTGCTTTTTATATGTAATCCCGTTTCCAACGAAATCCTCAAACCTAGACAAATATCCACCTGCAGATCCAACAAAAAGATTGTTTCAAAACTGCTCTCTCAAAAAAAAGGTTCAACTCTGTTAGCTGAGTAGATACATTATGAAAAAGTTTCTGACATTGCTTCTATCTAGCTTTTATTGGAGGATATTTCCTTTATCACCGTAGTCCTGAGAGCGCTCCAAATGTCCACTTCCAGATACTACAAAAAGAGTGTTTCAAACCTGCTCTATGAAAGGGACTGTTCAACACTGTGACTTCAATTGAAACATCCCAATGAAGCTTCTGAGAATACTGCTGTCTGCTTTGTATAATTAATCCCGTTTCCAACGAAATCCTCAAAGCTATCCAAATATCCTCTTGCAGATATTACAAAAAGAGTGTTTCAAAACTGCTCTATCAAAAGAAAGCTTCAACACTGTTAGTTGAGGGCGCACATCACAAATAAGTTTCTGAGAATGCTGCTGTCTGCTTTTTATATGTAATCCCGTTTCCAACGAAATCCTCAAAGCTAGACAAATATCCACTTGCAGATTCCACAAAAAGAGTGTTTCAAAACTGCTCTATCAAAAGAATGCTTCAACACTGTTAGTTGAGGGCGCACATCACAAATAAGTTTCTGAGAATGCTTCTGTCTAGTTTTCAGGGGAAGATATTTCCTTTTTCACCTTATGCCTGAAAGCGCTGCAAATGTCCACATCCAGATACTACAAAAAGAGTGTTTCAAACCTGCTCTATCAAAGGGACTGTTCAACACTGTGACTTCAATTGAAACATCCCAATGAAGCTTACTGAGAATGCTTCTGTCTAGAGTTTATATGAAGACAATCCCGTTTCCAACGAAATCCTCAAAGCTATCCAAATATCCTCTTGCAGATATTACAAAAAGAGTGTTTCAAAACTGCTCTATCAAAAGAAAGCTTCAACACTGTTAGTTGAGGGCGCACATCACAAATAAGTTTCTGAGAATGCTTCTATCTAGCTTTTATTGGAAGATATTTCCTTTTTCACCGTAGTCCTGACAGCGCTAAAAATGTCCACTTCCAGATACTACAAAAAGAGTGTTTCAAACCTGCTCTATGAAAGGGAATGTTCAACTCTGTGACTTGAATGCAAACATCACAAAGAAGTTTCTGGGAATGCTGCTGTCTGCTTTTTATATGTAATCCCGTTTCAAACGCAATCCTCAAAGCTAGACAAATATCCACTTGCAGATTCCACAAAAAGAGTGTTTCCAACCTGCTCTCTCAAAAGAAAGTTTCAACTCTGTTAGCTGAGTAGATACATCATGAAAAATTTTCTGACATTGCTTCTATGTAGCTTTTATTGGAAGATATTTCCTTTTTCACCGTTGTCCTGAGAGCGCTCCAAATGTCCACTTCCAGATACTACAAAAAGAGTGTTTCAAACCTGTTCTATGAAAGGAACTGTTCAACACTGTGACTTCAATTGAAACATCCCAATGAAGCTTCTGAGAATGCTTCTGTCTAGAGTTTATATGAAGACAATACCGTTTCCAACGAAATCCTCAAAGCTATCCAAATATCCTCTTGCAGATATTACAAAAAGAGTGTTTCAAAACTGCTCTATCAAAAGAAAGGTTCAACACTGTTATTTGAGGGCGCACATCACAAATAAGTTTCTGAGAATGCTGCTGTCTGCTTTTTATATGTAATCCCGTTTCCAACGAAATCCTCAAAGCTAGACAAATATCCACTTGCAGATTCCACAAAAAGAGTGTTTCAAAACTGCTCTATCAAAAGAATGCTTCAACACTGTTAGTTGAGGGCGCACATCACAAATAAGTTTCTGAGAATGCTTCTGTCTAGTTTTCAGGGGAAGATATTTCCTTTTTCACCATAGGCCTGAAAGCGCTCCAAATGTCCACATCCAGATACTACAAAAAGAGTGTTTCAAACCTGCTCTATGAAAGGGACTGTTCAACACTGTGACTTCAATTGAAACATCCCAATGAAGCTTCTGAGAATGCTTCTGTCTAGAGTTTATATGAAGACAATCCCGTTTCCAACGAAATCCTCAAAGCTATCCAAATATCCTCTTGCAGATATTACAAAAAGAGTGTTTCAAAACTGCTCTATCAAAAGAAAGCTTCAACACTGTTAGTTGAGGGCGCACATCACAAATAAGTTTCTGAGAATGCTTCTGTCTAGTTTTCAGGGGAAGATATTTCCTTTTTCACCTTAGGCCTGAAAGCGCTGCAAATGTCCACATCCAGATACTACAAAAAGAGTGTTTCAAACCTGCTCTATGAAAGGGATTGTTCAACTCTGTGACTTGAATGCAAACAACACAAAGAAGTTTCTGGGAATGCTGCTGTCTGCTTTTTATATGTAATCCCGTTTCCAACGAAATCCTCAAAGCTAGACAAATATCCACTTGCAGATTCCACAAAAAGAGTGTTTCAAAACTGCTCTCTCAAAAGAAAGGTTCAACTCTGTTAGCTGAGTAGATACATCATGAAAAAGTTTCTGACATTGCTTCTATCTAGCTTTTATTGGAAGATATTTCCTTTTTCACTGTAGTCCTGAGAACGCTCCAAATGTCCACTTCCAGATATGACAAAAAGAGTGTTTCAAACCTGCTCTATGAAAGGGACTGTTCAACACTGTGACTTCTATTGAAACATCCCAATGAAGCTTCTCAGAATGCTGCTGTCTGCTTTGTATAATTAATCCCGTTTCCAACGAAATCCTCAAAGCTATCCAAATATCCTCTTGCAGATATTACAAAAAGAGTGTTTCAAAACTGCTCTATCAAAAGAAAGCTTCAACACTGTTAGTTGAGGGCGCACATCACAAATAAGTTTCTGAGAATGCTGCTGTCTGCTTTTTTTATGTAATCCCGTTTCCAATGAAATCCTCAAAGCTAGACAAATATCCACTTGCAGATTCCACAAAAAGAGTGTTTCAAAACTGCTCTATCAAAAGAAAGCTTCAACACTGTTAGTTGAGGGCGCAAATCACAAATAAGTTTCTGAGAATGCTTCTGTCTAGTTTTCAGGGGAAGATATTTCCTTTTTCACCATAGGCCTGAAAGCGCTCGAAATGTCCACATCCAGATACTACAAAAAGAGTGTTTCAAACCTGCTCTATGAAAGGGACTGTTCAACACTGTGACTTCAATTGAAACATCCCAATGAAGCTTCTGAGAATGCTTCTGTCTAGAGTTTATATGAAGACAATCCCGTTTCCAACGAAATCCTCAAAGCTATCCAAATATCCTCTTGCAGATATTACAAAAAGAGTGTTTCATAACTGCTCTATCAAAAGAAAGGTTCAACACTGTTAGTTGAGGGCGCACATCACAAATAAGTTTCTGAGAATGCTTCTATATAGCTTTTATTGGAAGATATTTCCTTTTTCACCATAGGCCTGAAAGCGCTCCAAAAGTCCACATCCAGATACTACAAAAAAAGTGTTTCAAACCTGCTCTATGAAAGGGAATGTTCAACTCTGTGACTTGAATGCAAACATCACAAAGAAGTTACTGGGAATGCTGCTGTCTGCTTTTTATATGTAATCCCGTTTCCAACGAAATCCTCAAAGCTAGACAAATATCCACTTGCAGATTCCACAAAAAGAGTGTTTCAAAACTGCTCTGTCAAAAGAAAGGTTCAACTCTGTTAGCTGAATAGATACATCATGAAAAATTTTCTGACATTGCTTCTATCTAGCTTTTATTGGAAGATATTTCCTTTTTCACCGCAGTCCTGAGAGCGCTCCAAATGTCCACTTCCAGATACTACAAAAAGAGTGTTTCAAACCTGCTCTATGAAAGGGACTGTTCAACACTGTGACTTCAATTGAAACATCCCAATGAAGCTTCTGAGAATGCTTCTGTCTAGAGTTTATATGAAGACAATCCCGTTTCCAACGAAATCCTCAAAGCTATCCAAATATCCTCTTGCAGATATTACAAAAAGAGTGTTTCAAAACTGCTCTATCAAAAGAAAGGTTCAACACTGTTAGTTGAGGGCGCACATCACAAATAAGTTTACTGAGAATGCTGCTGTCTGCTTTTTATAATTAATCCCGTTTCCAACGAAATCCTCAAAGCTATCCAAATATCCTCTTGCAGATATTACAAAAAGAGTGTTTCAAAACTGCTCTATCAAAAGAAAGCTTCAACACTGTTAGTTGAGGGCGCACATCACAAATAAGTTTCTGAGAATGCTTCTGTCTAGTTTTCAGGGGAAGATATTTCCTTTTTCACCATAGGCCTGAAAGCGCTCCAAATGTCCACATCCAGATACTACAAAAAGAGTGTTTCAAACCTGCTCTATGAAAGGGAATGTTCAACTCTGTGACGTGAATGCAAACATCACAAAGAAGTTTTCTGGGAATGCTTCTGTCTAGATTTTATATGAAGACAATCCCGTTTCCAACGAAATCCTCAAAGCTATCCAAATATCCTCTTGCAGATTTTACAAAAAGAGTGTTTCAAAACCGCTCTATCAAAAGAAAAGTTCAACACTGTTAGTTGAGGGCGCACATCACAAATAAGTTTCTGAGAATGCTTCTGTCTAGTTTTCAGGGGAAGATATTTCCTTTTTCACCTTAGGCCTGAAAGCGCTGCAAATGTCCACAACCAGATACTACAAAAAGAGTGTTTCAAACCTGCTCTATGAAAGGGAATGTTCAACTCTGTGACTTGAATGCAAACATCACAAAGAAGTTTCTGGGAACGCTGCTGGCTGCTTTTTATATGTAATCCCGTTTCCAACGAAATCCTCAAAGCTAGACAAATATCCACTTGCAGATTCCACAAAAAGAGTGTTTCAAAACTGCTCTCTCAAAGGAAGGTTCAACTCTGTTAGCTGAGTAGATACATCATGAAAAAGTTTCTGACATTGCTTCTATCTAGCTTTTATTGGAAGATATTTCCTTTATCACCGTATTCCTGAGATCTCTCCAAATGTCCACTTCCAGATACTACAAAAAGAGTGTTTCAAACCTGCTCTATGAAAGGGACTGTTCAACACTGTGACTTCAATTGAAACATCCCAATGAAGCTTCTGAGAATGCTGCTGTCTGCTTTGTATAATTAATCCCGTTTCCAACGAAATCCTCAAAGCTATCCAAATATCCTCTTGCAGATATTACAAAAAGAGTGTTTCAAAACTGCTCTATCAAAAGAAAGCTTCAACACTGTTAGTTGAGGGCGCACATCACAAATAAGTTTCTGAGAATGCTGCTGTCTGCTTTTTATATGTAATCCCGTTTCCAACGAAATCCTCAAAGCTAGACAAATATCCACTTGCAGATTCCACAAAAAGAGTGTTTCAAAACTGCTCTATCAAAAGAATGCTTCAACACTGTTAGTTGAGGGCGCACATCACAAATAAGTTTCTGAGAATGCTTCTGTCTAGTTTTCAGGGGAAGATATTTCCTTTTTCACCATAGGCCTGAAAGCGCTCTAAATGTCCACATCCAGATACTACAAAAAGAGTGTTTCAAACCTGCTCTATGAAAGGGACTGTTCAACACTGTGACTTCAATTGAAACATCCCAATGAAGCTTCTGAGAATGCTTCTGTCTAGAGTTTATATGAAGACAATCCCGTTTCCAACGAAATCATCAAAGCTATCCAAATATCCTCTTGCAGATATTACAAAAAGAGTGTTTCAAAACTGCTCTATCAAAAGAAAGGTTCAACACCGTTAGTTGAGGGCGCACATCACAAATAAGTTTCTCAGAATGCTTCTGTCTAGTTTTCAGGGGAAGATATTTCCTTTTTCACCATAGGCCTGAAAGCGCTCCAAATGTCCACATCCAGATACTACAAAAAGAGTGTTTCAAACCTGCTCTATGAAAGGGAATGTTCAACTCTGTGACTTGAATGCAAACATCACAAAGAAGTTTCTGGGAATGCTGCTGTCTGCTTTTTATATGTAATCCCGTTTCCAACGAAATCCTCAAAGCTAGACAAATATCCACTTGCAGATTCCACAAAAAGAGTGTTTCAAAACAGCTCTCTCAAAAGAAAGGTTCAACTCTGTTAGCTGAGTAGATACATCATGAAAAAGTTTCTGACATTGCTTCTATCTAGCTTTTATTGGAAGATATTTCCTTTATCACCGTATTCCTGAGATCTCTCCAAATGTCCACTTCCAGATACTACAAAAAGAGTGTTTCAAACCTGCTCTATGAAAGGGACTGTTCAACACTGTGACTTCAATTGAAACATCCCAATGAAGGTTCTGAGAATGCTGCTGTCTGCTTTGTATAATTAATCCCGTTTCCAACGAAATCCTCAAAGCTATCCAAATATCCTCTTGCAGATATTACAAAAAGAGTGTTTCAAAACTGCTCTATCAAAAGAAAGCTTCAACACTGTTAGTTGAGGGCGCACATCACAAATAAGTTTCTGAGAATGCTGCTGACTGCTTTTTATATGTAATCCCGTTTCCAACGAAATCCTCAAAGCTAGAAAAATATCCAGATGCAGATTCCACAAAAAGAGTGTTTCAAAAC
This sequence comes from Homo sapiens, assembly GCF_000001405.40. Classification (NCBI taxonomy): domain Eukaryota; kingdom Metazoa; phylum Chordata; class Mammalia; order Primates; family Hominidae; genus Homo; species Homo sapiens. The sequence continues at coordinate 93,823,573 of NC_000002.12, read as the reverse complement.
TGCTCTATCAAAAGAAAGCTTCAACACTGTTAGTTGAGGGCGCACATCACAAATAAGTTTCTGAGAATGCTTCTGTCTAGTTTTCAGGGGAAGATATTTCCTTTTTCACCATAGGCCTGAAAGCGCTCCAAATGTCCACATCCAGATACTACAAAAAGAGTGTTTCAAACCTGCTCTATGAAAGGGACTGTTCAACACTGTGACTTCAATTGAAACATCCCAATGAAGCTTCTGAGAATGCTTTCTGTCTAGAGTTTATATGAAGACAATCCCGTTTCCAATGAAATCCTCAAAGCTATCCAAATATCCTCTTGCAAATTTTACAAAAAGAGTGTTTCAAAACTGCTCTATCAAAAGAAAGCTTCAACACTGTTAGTTGAGGGCGCACATCACAAATAAGATTCTGAGAATGCTTCTGTCTAGTTTTCAGGAGAAGATATTTCCATTTTCACCATAGGCCTGAAAGCGCTCCAAATGTCCACATCCAGATACTACAAAAAGAGTGTTTCAAACCTGCTCTATGAAAGGGAATGTTCAACTCTGTGACTTGAATGCAAACATCACAAAGAAGATTCTGGGAATGCTGCTGTCTGCTTTTTATATGTAATCCCGTTTCCAACGAAATCCTCAAAGCTAGACAAATATCCACTTGCAGATTCCACAAAAAGAGTGTTTCAAAACTGCTCTCTCAAAAGAAAGGTTCAACTCTGTTAGCTGAGTAGATACATCATGAAAAAGTTTCTGACATTGCTTCTATCTAGCTTTTATTGGAAGATATTTCCTTTTTCACCGCAGTCCTGAGAGCGTTCCAAATGTCCACTTCCAGATACTACAAAAAGAGTGTTTCAAACCTGCTCTATGAAAGGGACTGTTCAACACTGTGACTTCAATTGAAACATCCCAATGAAGCTTCTGAGAATGCTTCTGTCTAGAGTTTATATGAAGACAATCCCGTTTCCAACGAAATCCTCAAAGCTATCCAAATATCCTCTTGCAGATATTACAAAAAGAGTGTTTCAAAACTGCTCTATCAAAAGAAAGGTTCAACACTGTTAGTTGAGGGCGCACATCACAAATAAGTTTACTGAGAATGCTGCTGTCTGCTTTTTATATGTAATCCCGTTTCCAACGAAATCCTCAAAGCTAGACAAATATCCACTTGCAGATTCCACAAAAAGAGTGTTTCAAAACTGCTCTATCAAAAGAAAGCTTCAACACTGTTAGTTGAGGGCGCACATCACAAATAAGTTTCTGAGAATGCTTCTGTCTAGTTTTCAGGGGAAGATATTTCCTTTTAAACCATAGGCCTGAAAGCGCTCCAAATGTCCACATCCAGATACTACAAAAAGAGTGTTTCAAACCTGCTCTATGAAAGGGACTGTTCAACACTGTGACTTCAATTGAAACATCCCAATGAAGCTTCTGAGAATGCTTCTGTCTAGAGTTTATATGAAGACAATCCCGTTTCCAAAGAAATCCTCAAAGCCATCCAAATATCCTCTTGCAGATTTTACAAAAAGAGTGTTTCAAAACTGCTCTATCAAAAGAAAGCTTCAACACTGTTAGTTGAGGGCGCACATCACAAATAAGATTCTGAGAATGCTTCTGTCTAGTTTTCAGGGGAAGATATTTCCTTTTTCACCATAGGCCTGAAAGCGCTCCAAATGTCCACATCCAGATACTACAAAAAGAGTGTTTCAAACCTGCTCTCTGAAAGGGAATGTTCAACTCTGTGACTTGAATGCAAACATCACAAAGAAGTTTCTGGGAATGCTGCTGTCTGCTTTTTATATGTAATCCCGTTTCCAACGAAATCCTCAAAGCTAGACAAATATCCATCCACTTGCAGATTCCACAAAAAGAGTGTTTCAAAACTGCTCTATCAAAAGGATGCTTCAACACTGTTAGTTGAAGGCGCACATCACAAATAAGTTTCTGAGAATGCTTCTGTCTAGTTTTCAGGGGAAGATATTTCCTTTTTCACCATAGGCCTGAAAGCGCTCCAAATGTCCACATCCAGATACTACAAAAAGAGTGTTTCAAACCTGCTCTATGAAAGGGACTGTTCAACACTGTGACTTCAATTGAAACATCCCAATGAAGCTTCTGAGAATGCTTCTGTCTAGAGTTTATATGAAAACAATCCCGTTTCCAACGAAATCCTCAAAGCTATCCAAATATCCTCTTGCAGATTTTACGAAAAGAGTGTTTCAAAACTGCTCTATCAAAAGAAAGCTTCAACACTGTTAGTTGAGGGCGCACATCACAAATAAGATTCTGAGAATGCTTCTGTCTAGTTTTCAGGAGAAGATATTTCCTTTTTCACCATAGACCTGAAAGCGCTCAAAATGTTCACATCCAGACACTATAAAAAGAGTGTTTCAAACCTGCTCTCTGAAAGGGAATGTTCAACTCTGTGACTTCAATGCAAACATCACAAACAAGATTCTGGGAATGCTGCTGCCTGCTTTTTATATGTAATCCCGTTTCCAACGAAATCCTCAAAGCTAGACAAATATCCACTTCCAGATTCCACAAAAAGAGTGTTTCAAAACTGCTCTCTCAAAAGAAAGGTTCAACTCTGTTAGCTGAGTAGACACATCATGAAAAAGTTTCTGACATTGCTTCTATCTAGCTTTTATTGGAAGATATTTCCTTTTTCACCGCAGTCCTGAGAGCGCTCCAAATGTCCACTTCCAGATACTACAAAAAGTGTGTTTCAAACCTGCTCTATGAAAGGGACTGTTCAACACTGTGACTTCAATTGAAACATCCCAAGGAAGCTTCTGAGAATGCTTCTGTCTAGAGTTTATATGAAGACAATCCCGTTTCCAACGAAATCCTCAAAGCTATCCAAATATCCTCTTGCAGATATTACAAAAAGAGTGTTTCAAAACTGCTCTATCAAAAGAAAGGTTCAACACTGTTAGTTGAGGGCGCACATCACAAATAAGTTTACTGAGAATGCTGCTGTCTGCTTTTTATATGTAATCCCGTTTCCAACGAAATCCTCAAAGCTAGACAAATATCCACTTGCAGATAAAAAGAGTGTTTCAAAACTGCTCTGTCAAAAGAAAGCTTCAACACTGTTAGTTGAGGGCGCACATCACAAATAAGATTCTGAGAATGCTTCTGTCTAGTTTTCAGGGGAAGATATTTCCTTTTTCACCATAGGCCTGAAAGCGCTCCAAATGACCACATCCAGATACTACAAAAAGAGTGTTTCAAACCTGCTCTATGAAAGGGACTGTTCAACACTGTGACTTCAATTGAAACATCCCAATGAAGCTTCTGAGAATGCTTCTGTCTAGAGTTTATATGAAGACAATCCCGTTTCCAACGAAATCCTCAAAGCTATCCAAATATCCTCTTGCAGATTTTACAAAAAGAGTGTTTCAAAACTGCTCTATCAAAAGAAAGCTTCAACACTGTTAGTTGAGGGCGCACATCACAAATAAGATTCTGAGAATGCTTCTGTCTAGTTTTCAGGAGAAGATATTTCCTTTTTCACCATAGGCCTGAAAGCGCTCCAAATGTCCACATCCAGATACTATAAAAAGAGTGTTTCAAACCTGCTCTCTGAAAGGGAATCTTCAACTCTGTGACTTGAAAGCAAAGATCACAAACAAGATTCTGGGAATGCTGCTGTCTGCTTTTTATATGTAATCCCGTTTCCAACGAAATCCTCAAAGCTAGACAAATATCCACTTGCAGATTCCACAAAAAGAGTGTTTCAAAACTGCTCTCTCAAAAGAAAGGTTCAACTCTGTTAGCTGAGTAGATACATCATGAAAAAGTTTCTGACATTGCTTCTATCTAGCTTTTATTGGAAGATATTTCCTTTATCACCGTATTCCTGAGAACTCTCCAAATGTCCACTTCCAGATACTACAAAAAGAGTGTTTCAAACCTGCTCTATGAAAGGGACTGTTCAACACTGTGACTTCAATTGAAACATCCCAATGAAGCTTCTGAGAATGCTTCTGTCTAGAGTTTATATGAAGACAATCCCGTTTCCAACGAAATCCTCAAAGCTATCCAAATATCCTCTTGCAGATATTACAAAAAGAGTGTTTCAAAACTGCTCTATCAAAAGAAAGGTTCAACACTGTTAGTTGAGGGCGCACATCACAAATAAGTTTACTGAGAATGCTGCTGTCTGCTTTTTATATGTAATCCCGTTTCCAACGAAATCCTCAAAGCTAGACAAATATCCACTTGCAGATTCCACAAAAAGAGTGTTTCAAAACTGCTCTATCAAAAGAATGCTTCAACACTGTTAGTTGAAGGCGCACATCACAAATAAGTTTCTGAGAATGCTTCTCTCTACCTTTTATTGGAAGATATTTCCTTTTTCACCGTAGTCCTGAGAGCGCTCCAAATGTCCTCTTCCAGATACTACAAAAAGAGTGTTTCAAACCTGCTCTATGAAAGGGACTGTTCAACACTGTGACTTCAATTGAAACATCCCAATGAAGCTTCTGAGAATGCTTCTGTCTAGATTTTATATGAAGACAATCCCGTTTCCAACGAAATCCTCAAAGCTATCCAAATATCCTCTTGCAGATTTTACAAAAAGAGTGTTTCAAAACTACTCTATCAAAAGAAAGGTTTAACACTGTTAGTTGAGGGCGCACATCACAAATAAGTTTCTGAGAATGCTTCTGTCTAGTTTTCATGGGAAGATATTTCCTTTTTCACCATAGGCCTGAAAGCGCTCCAAATGTCCACATCCAGATACTACAAAAAGAATGTTTCAAACCTGCTCTATGAAAGGGAATGTTCAACTCTGTGACTTGAATGCAAACATCACAATGAAGTTTCTGGGAATGCTGCTGTCTGCTTTTTATATGTAATCCCGTTTCCAACGAAATCCTCAAAGCTAGACAAATTTCCACTTGCAGATTCCACAAAAAGAGTGTTTCAAAACTGCTCTGTCAAAAGAAAGGTTCAACTCTGTTAGCTGAATAGATACATCATGAAAAATTTTCTGACATTGCTTCTATCTAGCTTTTATTGGAAGATATTTCCTTTTTCACCATAGTCCTGAGAACGCTCCAAATGTCCACTTCCAGATATTACAAAAAGAGTGTTTCAAACCTGCTCTACGAAAGGGACTGTTCAACACTGTGACTTCAATTGAAACATCCCAATGAAGCTTCTGAGAATCCTTCTGTCTAGAGTTTATATGAAGACAATCCCGTTTCCAACGAAATCCTCAAAGCTATCCAAATATCCTCTTGCAGATATTACAAAAAGAGTGTTTCAAAACTGCTCTATCAAAAGAAAGGTTCAACACTGTTAGTTGAGGGCGCACATCACAAATAAGTTTACTGAGAATGCTGCTGTCTGCTTTTTATATGTAATCCCGTTTCCAACGAAATCCTCAAAGCTAGACAAATATCCACTTGCAGATTCCACAAAAAGAGTGTTTCAAAACTGCTCTATCAAAAGAAAGCTTCAACACTGTTAGTTGAGGGCGCACATCACAAATAAGTTTCTGAGAATGCTTCTGTCTAGTTTTCAGGGGAAGATATTTCCTTTTAAACCATAGGCCTGAAAGCGCTCAAATGTCCACATCCAGATACTACAAAAAGAGTGTTTCAAACCTGCTCTATGAAAGGGACTGTTCAACATTGTGACTTCAATTGAAACATCCCCATGATGCTTCTGAGAATGCTTCTGTCTAGAGTTTATATGAAGACAATCCCGTTTCCAACGAAATCCTCAAAGCTATCCAAATATCCTCTTGCAGATTTTACAAAAAGAGTGTTTCAAAACTGCTCTATCAAAAGAAAGCTTCAACACTGTTAGTTGAGGGCGCACATCACAAATAAGATTCTGAGAATGCTTCTATCTAGTTTTCAGGGGAAGATATTTCCTTTTTCACCATAGGCCTGAAAGCGCTCCAAATGTCCACATCCAGATACTACAAAAAGAGTGTTTCAAACCTGCTCTATGAATGGGAATGTTCAACTCTGTGACTTGAATGCAAACATCACAAAGAAGATTCTGGGAATGCTGCTGTCTGCTTTTTATATGTAATCCCGTTTCCAACGAAATCCTCAAAGCTAGACAAATATCCACTTGCAGATTCCACAAAAAGAGTGTTTCAAAACGGCTCTCTCAAAAGAAAGGTTCAACTCTGTTAGCTGAGTAGATACATCATGAAAAATTTTCTGACATTGCTTCTATCTAGCTTTTATTGGAAGATATTTCCTTTTTCACCGTAGTCCTGAGAACGCTCCAAATGTCCACTTCCAGATACTACAAAAAGAGTGTTTCAAACCTGCTCCATGAAAGGGACTGTTCAACACTGTGACTTCAATTGAAACATCCCAATGAAGCTTCTGAGAATGCTTATGTCTAGAGTTTATATGAAGACAATCCCGTTTCCAACGAAATCCTGAAAGCTATCCAAATATCCTCTTGCAGATATTACAAAAAGAGTGTTTCAAAACTGCTCTATCAAAAGAAAGCTTCAACACTGTTAGTTGAGGGCGCCCATCACAAATAAGTTTCGGAGAATGCTTAGCTGTCTGCTTTTTATATGTAATCCCTTTTCCAACGAAATCCTCAAAGCTAGACAAATATCCACTTGCAGATTCCACAAAAAGAGTGTTTCAATACTGCTCTATCAAAAGAATGCTTCAACACTGTTAGTTGAGGGCGCACATCACAAATAAGTTTCTGAGAATGCTTCTGTCTAGTTTTCAGGGGAAGATATTTCCTTTTTCACCTTATGCCTGAAAGCGCTGCAAATGTCCACATCCAGATACTACAAAAAGAGTGTTTCAAACCTGCTCTATCAAAGGGACTGTTCAACACTGTGACTTCAATTGAAACATCCCAATGAAGCTTCTGAGAATGCTTCTGTCTAGAGTTTATATGAAGACAATCCCGTTTCCAACGAAATCCTCAAAGCTATCAAAATATCCTCTTGCAGATTTTACGAAAAGAGTGTTTCAAAACTGCTCTATCAAAAGAAAGGTTCAACACTGTTAGTTGAGGGCGCACATCATAAATAAGATTCTGAGAATGCTTCTGTCTAGTTTTCAGGGGAAGATATTTCCTTTTTCACCATAGGCCTGAAAGCGCTCCAAATGTCCACATCGAGATACTACAAAAAGAGTGTTTCAAACCTACTCTATGAAAGGGAATGTTCAACTCTGTCACTTGAATGGAAACATCACAAACAAGTTACTGGGAATGCTGCTGTCTGCTTTTTATATGTAATCCCGTTTCCAACGAAATCCTCAAAGCTAGACAAATATCCACTTCCAGATTCCACAAAAAGAGTGTTTCAAAACTGCTGTCTCAAAAGAAAGGTTCAACTGCTGTTAGCTGAGTAGATACATCATGAAAAAGTTTCTGACATTGCTTCTATGTAGCTTTTATTGGAAGATATTTCCTTTTTCACCATAGTCCTGAGAGCGCTCCAAATGTCCACTTCCAGATACTACAAAAAGAGTGTTTCAAACCTGTTCTATGAAAGGAAATGTTCAACACTGTGACTTCAATTGAAACATCCCAATGAAGCTTCTGAGAATGCTTCTGTCTAGAGTTTATATGAAGACAATCCCGTTTCCAACGAAATCCTCAAAGCTATCCAAATATCCTCTTGCAGATATTACAAAAAGAGTGTTTCAAAACTGCTCTATCAAAAGAAAGGTTCAACACTGTTAGTTGAGGGCGCACATCACAAATAAGTTTACTGAGAATGCTGCTGTCTGCTTTTTATATGTAATCCCGTTTCCAACGAAATCCTCAAAGCTAGACAAATATCCACTTGCAGATTCCACAAAAAGAGTGTTTCAAAACTGCTCTATCAAAAGAATGCTTCAACACTGTTAGTTGAGGGCGCACATCACAAATAAGTTTCTGAGAATGCTTCAATCTAGCTTTTATTGGAAGATATTTCCTTTATCACCTTAGTCCTGAGAGCGCTCCAAATGTCCACTTCCAGATACTACAAAAAGAGTGTTTCAAACCTGCTCTATGAAAGGAACTGTTCAACACTGTGACTTCAATTGAAACATCCCATTGAAGCTTCTGAGAATGGTTCTGTCTAGAGTTTATATGAAGACAATCCCGTTTCCAACGAAATCCTCAAAGCTATCCAAATATCCTCTTGCAGATATTACAAAAAGAGTGTTTCAAAACTGCTCTATCAAAAGAAAGGTTCAACACTGTTAGTTGAGGGCGCACATCACAAATAAGTTTACTGAGAATGCTTTCTGTCTAGTTTTCAGGGGAAGATATTTCCTTTTTCACCATAGGCCTGAAAGCGCTCCAAATGTCCACATACAGATACTACAAAAAGAGTGTTTCAAACCTGCTCTATGAAAGGGAATGTTCAACTCTGTGACTTGAATGCAAACTTCACAAAGAAGTTTCTGGGAATGCTGCTGTCTGCTTTTTATATGTAATCCCGTTTCCAACGAAATCCTCAAAGCTAGAGAAATATCCACTTGCAGATTCCACAAAAAGAGTGTTTCAAAACTGCTCTCTCAAAAGAAAGGTTCAACTCTGTTAGCTGAGTAGATACATCATGAAAAAGTGTCTGACATTGCTTCTATCTAGCTTTTATTGGAAGATATTTCCTTTATCACCGTATTCCTGAGATCTCTCCAAATGTCCACTTCCAGATACTACAAAAAGAGTGTTTCAAACTTGCTCTATGAAAGAGACTGTTCAACACTGTGACTTCAATTGAAACATCCCAATGAAGCTTCTGAGAATGCTTCTGTCTAGAGTTTATATGAAGACAATCCCGTTTCCAACGAAATCCTCAAAGCTATCCAAATATCCTCTTGCAGATATTACAAAAAGAGTGTTTCAAAACTGCTCTATCAAAAGAAAGGTTCAACACTGTTAGTTGAGGGCGCACATCACAAATAAGTTTACTGAGAATGCTGCTGTCTGCTTTTTATATGTAATCCCGTTTCCAACGAAATCCTCAAAGCTAGACAAATATCCACTTGCAGATTCCACAAAAAGAGTGTTTCAAAACTGCTCTATCAAAAGAATGCTTCAACACTGTTAGTTGAGGGCGCACATAACAAATAAGTTTCTGAGAATGCTTTCTGTCTAGTTTTCAGGGGAAGATATTTCCTTTTAAACTATAGGCCTGCAAAAGCTCCAAATGTCCACATCCAGATACTACAAAAAGAGTGTTTCAAACCTGCTCTATGAAAGGGACTGTTCAACACTGTGACTTCAATTGAAACATCCCAATGAAGCTTCTGAGAATTCTTCTGTCTAGAGTTTATATGAAGACAATCCCGTTTCCAACGAAATCCTCAAAGCTATCCAAATATCCTCTTGCAGATATTACAAAAAGAGTGTTTCAAAACTGCTCTATCAAAAGAAAGGTTCAACACTGTTAGTTGAGGGCGCACATCACAAATAAGTTTCTGAGAATGCTTCTGTCTAGTTTTCAGGGGAAGATATTTCCTTTTTCACCATAGGCCAGAAAGCGCTCCAAATGTCCACAACCAGATACTTCAAAAAGAGTGTTTCAAACCTGCTCTATGAAAGGGAATGTTCAACTCTCCGACTTGAATGCAAACATCACAAAGTAGTTACTGGGAATGCTGCTGTCTGCTTTTTATATGTAATCCCGTTTCCAACGAAATCCTCAAAGCTAGACAAATATCCACTTGCAGATTCCACAAAAAGAGTGTTTCAAAACTGCTCTATCAAAAGAAAGCTTCAACACTGTTAGTTGAGGGCGCACATCACAAATAAGTTTCTGAGAATGCTTCTGTCTAGTTTTCAGGGGAAGATATTTCCTTTTTCACCTTAGGCCTGAAAGCGCTGTAAATGTCCACATCCAGATACTACAAAAAGATTGTTTCAAACCTGCTCTATGAAAGGGAATGTTCAACTCTGTGACTTGAATGCAAACATCACAAAGAAGTTTCTGGGAATGTCGCTGTCTGCTTTTTATATGTAATCCCGTTTCCAAAGAAATCCTCAAAGCTAGACAAATATCCACTTGCAGACTCCACAAAATGAGTGTTTCAAAACTGCTCTCTCAAAAGAAAGGTTCAACTCTTTTAGCTGAGTAGATACATCATGAAAAAGTTTCTCACATTGCTTCTATGTAGCTTTTATTGGAAGATATTTCCTTTTTAACCATAGTCCTGAGAGCGCTCCAAATGTCCACTTCCAGATACTACAAAAAGAGTGTTTCAAACCTGTTCTATGAAAGGAACTGTTCAACACTGTGACTTCAATTGAAACATCCCAATGAAGCTTCTGAGAATGCTTCTGTTTAGAGTTTATATGAAGACAATCCCGTTTCCAACGAAATCCTCAAAGCTATCCAAATATCCTCTTGCAGATTTTACAAAAAGAGTGTTTCAAAACTGCTCTATCAAAAGAAAGCTTCAACACTGTTAGTTGAGGGTGCACATCACAAATAAGATTCTGAGAATGCTGCTGTCTGCTTTTTATATGTAATCCCGTTTCCAACGAAATCCTCAAAGCTATCCAAATATCCTCTTGCAGATATTACAAAAAGAGTGTTTCAAAACTGCTCTATCAAAAGAAAGGTTCAACACTGTTAGTTGAGGGCGCACATCACAAATAAGTTTCTGAGAATGCTTCTGTCTAGTTTTCAGGGGAAGATATTTCCTTTTAAACCATAGGCCTGAAAGCGCTCCAAATGTCCACATCCAGATACTACAAAAAGAGTGTTTCAAACCTGCTCTATGAAAGGGACTGTTCAACACTGTGACTTCAATTGAAACATCCCAATGAAGCTTCTGAGAATGCTTCTGTCTAGATTTTATATGAAGACAATCCCGTTTCCAACGAAATCCTCAAAGCTAACCAAATATCCTATTGCAGATTTTACAAAAAGAGTGTTTCAAAACTGCTCTATCAAAAGAAAGGTTCAACACTGTTAGTTGAGGGTGCACATCACAAATAAGATTCTGAGAATGCTTCTGTCTAGTTTTCAGGGGAAGATATTTCCTTTTTCACCATAGGCCTGAAAGCGCTCCAAATGTCCACATCCAGATACTACAAAAAGAGTGTTTCAAACCTGCTCTATGAAAGGGAATGTTCAACTCTGTGACTTGAATGCAAACATCACAAAGAAGTTTCTGGGAATGCTGCTGTCTGCTTTTTATATGTAATCGCGTTTCCAACGAAATCCTCAAAGCTAGACAAATATCCACTTGCAGATTCCACAAAAAGAGTGTTTCAAAACTGCTCTCTCGAAAGAAAGGTTCAACTCTGTTAGCTGAGTAGATACATCATGAAAATGTTTCTGACATTGCTTCTATCTAGCTTTTATTGGAAGATATTTCCTTTTTCACCGTAGTCCTGAGATCTCTCCAAATGTCCACTTCCAGATACTACAAAAAGAGTGTTTCAAACCTGCTCTATGAAAGGGACTGTTCAACACTGTGACTTCAATTGAAACATCCCAATGAAGCTTCTGAGAATGCTTCTGTCTAGAGTTTATATGAAGACAATCCCGTTTCCAACGAAATCCTCAAAGCTATCCAAATATCCTCTTGCAGATATTACAAAAAGAGTGTTTCAAAACTGCTCTATCAAAAGAAAGGTTCAACACTGTTAGTTGAGGGCGCACATCACAAATAAGTTTACTGAGAATGCTGCTGTCTGCTTTTTATATGTAATCCCGTTTCCAACGAAATCCTCAAAGCTAGACAAATATCCACTTGCAGATTCCACAAAAAGAGTGTTTCAAAACTGCTCTATCAAAAGAAAGCTTCAACACTGTTAGTTGAGGGCGCACATCACAAATAAGTTTCTGAGAATGCTTCTGTCTAGTTTTCAGGGGAAGATATTTCCTTTTTCACCATAGGCCTGAAAGCGCTCCAAATGTCCACATCCAGATACTACAAAAAGAGTGTTTCAAACCTGCTCTATGAAAGGGACTGTTCAACACTGTGACTTCAATTGAAACATCCCAATGAAGCTTCTGAGAATGCTTCTGTCTAGAGTTTATATGAAGACAATCCCGTTTCCAACGAAATCCTCAAAGCTATCCAAATATCCTCTTGCAGATATTACAAAAAGAGTGTTTCAAAACTGCTCTATCAAAAGAAAGCTTCAACACTGTTAGTTGAGGGCGCACATCACAAAGAAGTTTCTGAGAATGCTTCTGTCTAGTTTTCAGGGGAAGATATTTCCTTTTTCACCATAGGCCTGAAAGCGCTCCAAATGTCCACATCCAGATAGTACAAAAAGAGTGTTTCAAACCTGCTCTATGAAAGGGAATGTTCAACTCTGTGACTTGAATGCAAACATCACAAAGAAGTTACTGGGAATGCTGCTGTCTGCTTTTTATATGTAATCCCGTTTCCAACGAAATCCTCAAAGCTAGACAAATATCTACCTGCAGATCCAACAAAAAGAGTGTTTCAAAACTGCTCTCTCAAAAAAAAGGTTCAACTCTGTTAGCTGAGTAGATACATCATGAAAAAGTTTCTGACATTGCTTCTATCTAGCTTTTATTGGAAGATAATTCCTTTATCACCGTATTCCTGAGAACTCTCCAAACGTCCACTTCCAGATACTACAAAAAGATTGTTTCAAACCTGCTCTATGAAAGGGACTGTTCAACACTGTGACTTCAATTGAAACATCCCATTGAAGCTTCTGAGAATGCTGCTGTCTGCTTTGTATAATTAATCCCGTTTCCAACGAAATCCTCAAAGCTATCCAAATATCCTCTTGCAGATATTACAAAAAGAGTGTTTCAAAACTGCTCTATCAAAAGAAAGCTTCAACACTGTTAGTTGAGGGCGCACATCACAAATAAGTTTCTGAGAATGCTGCTGTCTGCTTTTTATAATTAATCCCGTTTCCAACGAAATCCTCAAAGCTATCCAAATATCCTCTTGCAGATATTACAAAAAGAGTGTTTCAAAACTGCTCTATCAAAAGAAAGCTTCAACACAGTTAGTTTAGGGCGCACATCACAAATAAGTTTCTGAGAATGCTTCTATCTAGCTTTTATTGGAAGATATTTCCTTTTTCACTGTAGTCCTGAGAACGCTCCAAATGTCCACTTCCAGATATGACAAAAAGAGTGTTTCAAACCTGCTCTATGAAAGGGACTGTTCAACACTGTGACTTCAATTGAAACATCCCAATGAAGCTTCTCAGAATGCTTCTGTCTAGATTCTATATGAAGACAATCCCGTTTCCAACGAAATCCTCAAAGCTATCCAAATATCCTCTTGCAGATTTTACAAAAGAGTGTTTCAAAACTGCTCTATCAAAAGAAAGGTTCAACACTGTTAGTTGAGGGCGCACATCACAAATAAGTTTCTGAGAATGCTTCTGTCTAGTTTACAGGGGAAGATATTTCCTTTTTCACCATAGGCCTGAAAGCGCTCCAAATGTCCACATCCAGATACTACAAAAAGAGTGTTTCAAACCTGCTCTATGAAAGGGAATGTTCAAGATTGTGACTTGAATGCAAATTTCACAAAGAACTTTCTAGGAATGCTGCTGTCTGGTTTTTATATGTAATCCCGTTTCCAACGAAATCCTCAAAGCTAGACAAATATCCACTTGCAGATTCCACAAAAATAGTGTTTCAAAACTGCTCTCTCAAAAGAAAGGTTCAACTCTTTTAGCTGAGTAGATACATCATGAAAAAGTTTCTGACATTGCTTCTATCTAGCTTTTATTGGAAGATATTTCCTTTATCACCGTATTCCTGAGATCTCTCCAAATGTCCACTTCCAGATACTACAAAAAGAGTGTTTCAAACCTGCTCTATGAAAGGGACTGTTCAACACTGTGACTTCAATTGAAACATCCCAATGAAGCTTCTGAGAATGCTTCTGTCTAGAGTTTATATGAAGACAATCCCGTTTCCAAAGAAATCCTGAAAGCTATCCAAATATCCTCTTGCAGATATTACAAAAAGAGTGTTTCAAAACTGCTCTATCAAAAGAAAGGTTCAACACTGTTAGTTGAGGGCGCACATCACAAATAAGTTTCTGAGAATGCTTCCTGTCTAGTTTTCCAGGGGAAGATATTTCCTTTTTCACCATAGGCCTGAAAGCGCTCCAAATGTCCACATCCAGATACTACAAAAAGAGTGTTTCAAACCTGTTCTATGAAAGGGAATGTTCAACTCTGTGACTTGAATGCAAACATCACAAAGAAGTTTCTGGGAATGCTGCTGTCTGCTTTTTATATGTAATCCCGTTTCCAACGAAATCCTCAAAGCTAGACAAATATCCACTTGCAGATTCCACAAAAAGAGTGTTTCAAAACTGCTCTCTCAAAAGAAAGGTTCAACTCTGTTAGCTGAGTAGATACGTCATGAAAAAGTTTCTGACATTGCTTCTATCTAGCTTTTATTGGAAGATATTTCCTTTTTCACCGCAGTCCTGAGAGCGTTCCAAATGTCCACTTCCAGATACTACAAAAAGAGTGTTTCAAACCTGCTCTATGAAAGGGACTGTTCAACACTGTGACTTCAATTGAAACATCCCAATGAAGCTTCTGAGAATGCTTCTGTCTAGAGTTTATATGAAGACAATCCCGTTTGCAACGAAATCCTCAAAGCTATCCAAATATCCTCTTGCAGATTTTACAAAAAGAGTGTTTCAAAACTGCTCTATCAAAAGAAAGCTTCAACACTGTTAGTTGAGGGCGCACATCACAAATAAGATTCTGAGAATGATTGCTGTCTGCTTTTCATATGTAATCCCGTTTCCAACGAAATCCTCAAAGCTAGACAAATATCCACTTGCAGATTCCACAAAAAGAGTGTTTCAAAACTGCTCTATCAAAAGAATGCTTCAACACTGTGAGTTGAGGGCGCACATCACAAATAAGTTTCTGAGAATGCTTCTGTCTAGTTTTCAGGGGAAGATATTTCCTTTTTCACCATAGGCCTGAAAGCGCTCCAAATGTCCACATTCCAGATACTACAAAAAGAGTGTTTCAAACCTGCTCCATGAAAGGGACTGTTCAACACTGTGACTTCAATTGAAACATCCCAATGATATGCTTCTGAGAATGCTTCTGTCTAGAGTTTATATGAAGACAATCCCGTTTCCAACGAAATCCTCAAAGCTATCCAAATATCCTCTTGCAGATTTTACAAAAAGAGTGTTTCAAAACTGCTCTCTCAAAAGAAAGCTTCAACACTGTTAGTTGAGGGCGCACATCACAAATAAGATTCTGAGAATGCTTCTGTCTAGTTTTCAGGGGAAGATATTTCCTTTTTCCCCATTGGCCTGAAAGCGCTCCAAATGTCCACATCCAGATACTACAAAAAGAGTGTTTCAAACCTGCTCTATGAAAGGGAATGTTCAACTCTGTGACTTGAATGCAAACATCACAAAGAGGTTACTGGGAATGCTGCTGTCTGCTTTTTATATGTAATCCCGTTTCCAACGAAATCCTCAAAGCTAGACAAATATCCACTTGCAGATTCCACAAAAAGAGTGTTTCAAAACTGCTCTCTCAAAGGAAATGTTCAACTCTGTTAGCTGAGTAGATACATCATGAAAAAGTTTCTGACATTGCTTCTATCTAGCTTTTATTGGAAGATATTTCCTTTATCACCGTATTCCTGAGATCTCTCCAAATGTCCACTTCCAGATACTACAAAAAGAGTGTTTCAAACCTGCTCTATGAAAGGGACTGTTCAACACTGTGACTTCAATTGAAACATCCCAATGAAGCTTCTGAGAATGCTTCTTTCTAGAGTTTATATGAAGACAATCCCGTTTCCAACGAAATCCTCAAAGCTATCCAAATATCCTCTTGCAGATTTTACAAAAAGAGTGTTTCAAAACTGCTCTATCAAAAGAAAGCTTCAACACTGTTAGTTGAGGGCGCACATCAGAAATAAGTTTCTGAGAATGCTGCTGTCTGCTTTTTATATGTATTCCCGTTTCCAACGAAATCCTCAAAGCTAGACAAATATCCACTTGCAGATTCCACAAAAAGAGTGTTTCAAAACTGCTCTATCAAAAGAAAGCTTCAACACTGTTAGTTGAGGGCGCACATCACAAATAAGTTTCTGAGAATGCTTCTGTCTAGTTTTCAGGGGAAGATATTTCCTTTTTCACCATAGGCCTGAAAGCGCTCCAAATGTCCACATTCCAGATACTACAAAAAGAGTGTTTCAAACCTGCTCCATGAAAGGGACTGTTCAACACTGTGACTTCAATTGAAACATCCCAATGATATGCTTCTGAGAATGCTTCTGTCTAGAGTTTATATGAAGACAATCCCGTTTCCAACGAAATCCTCAAAGCTATCCAAATATCCTCTTGCAGATTTTACGAAAAGAGTGTTTCAAAACTGCTCTATCAAAAGAAAGCTTCAACACTGTTAGTTGAGGGCGCACATCACAAATAAGATTCTGAGAATGCTTCTGTCTTGTTTTCAGGAGAAGATATTTCCTTTTTCACCATAGGCCTGAAAGCGCTCCAAATGTCCACATCCAGATACTATAAAAAGAGTGTTTCAAACCTGCTCTATGAAACGGAATGTTCAACTCTGGGACTTGAATGCAAACATCACAAAGAAGATTCTGAGAATGCTGCTGTCTGCTTTTTATATGTAATCCCGTTTCCAACGAAATCCTCAAAGCTAGACAAATATCCACTTGCAGATTCCACAAAAAGAGTGTTTCAAAACTGCTCTCTCAAAGGAAAGGTTCACCTCTGTTAGCTGAGTAGATACATCATGAAAAAGTTTCTGACATTGCTTCTATCTAGCTTTTATTGGAAGATATTTCCTTTTTCACCGCAGTCCTGAGAGCGCTCCAAATGTCCACTTCCAGATACTACAAAAAGAGTGTTTCAAACCTGCTCTATGAAAGGGACTGTTCAACACTGTGACTTTAATTGAAACATCCCAATGAAGCTTCTGAGAATGCTTCTGTCTAGAGTTTATATGAAGACAATCCCGTTTCCAACGAAATCCTCAAAGCTATCCAAATATTCTCTTGCAGATTTTACAAAAAGAGTGTTTCAAAACTGCTCTATCAAAAGAAAGCTTCAACACTGTTTAGTTGAGGGCGCACATCACAAATAAGATTCTGAGAATGCTTCTGTCTAGTTTTCTGGGGAAGATATTTCCTTTTTCACCATAGGCCTGAAAGCGCTCCAATTGTCCACATCCAGATACTACAAAAAGAGTGTTTCAAACCTGCTCTATGAAAGGGAATGTTCAACACTGTGACTTGAATGCAAACATCACAAAGAAGTTACTGGGAATGCTGCTGTCTGCTTTTTATATGTAATCCCGTTTCCAACGAAATCCTCAAAGCTAGACAAATATCCACTTGCAGATTCCACAAAAAGAGTGTTTCAAAACTGCTCTCTCAAAGGAAGGTTCAACTCTGTTAGCTGAGTAGACACATCATGAAAAAGATTCTGACATTGCTTCTATCTAGCTTTTATTGGAAGATATTTCCTTTATCACCGTATTCCTGAGATCTCTCCAAATGTCCACTTCCAGATACTACAAAAAGAGTGTTTCAAACCTGCTCTATGAAAGGGACTGTTCAACACTGTGACTTCAATTGAAACATCCCAATGAAGCTTCTGAGAATGCTTCTGTCTAGATTCTATATGAAGACAATCCCGTTTCCAACGAAATCCTCAAAGCTATCCAAATATCCTCTTGCAGATTTTACAAAAAGAGTGTTTCAAAACTGCTCTATCAAAAGAAAAGTTCCACACTGTTAGTTGAGGGCGCACATCACAAATAAGTTTGCTGAGAATGCTGCTGTCTGCTTTTTATATGTAATCCCGTTTCCAACGAAATCCTCAAAGCTAGACAAATATCCACTTGCAGATTCCACAAAAAGAGTGTTTCAAAACTGCTCTATCAAAAGAAAGCTTCAACACTGTTAGTTGAGGGCGCACATCACAAATAAGTTTCTGAGAATGCTTCTGTCTAGTTTTCAGGGGAAGATATTTCCTTTTTCACCATAGGCCTGAAAGCGCTCCAAATGTCCACATCCAGATACTACAAAAAGAGTGTTTCAAACCTGCTCTATGAAAGGGACTGTTCAACACTGTGACTTCAATTGAAACATCCCAATGAAGCATCTGAGAATGCTTCTGTCTAGACTTTATATGAAGACAATCCCGTTTCCAACGAAATCCTCAAAGCTATCCAAATATCCTCTTGCAGATATTACAAAAAGAGTGTTTCAAAACTGCTCTACCAAAAGAAAGCTTCAACACTGTTAGTTGAGGGCGCACATCACAAATAAGTTTCCTGAGAATGCTTCTGTCTAGTTTTCAGGGGAAGATATTTCCTTTTTCACCATAGGCCTGAAAGCGCTCCAAATGTCCACATCCAGATACTAGAAAAAGAGTGTTTCAAACCTGCTCTATGAAAGGGAATGTTCAACACTGTGACTTGAATGCAAACATCACAAAGAAGTTTCTGGGAATGCTGCTGTCTGCTTTTTATATGTAATCCCGTTTCCAACGAAATCCTCAAAGCTAGACAAATATCCACTTGCAGATTCCACAAAAAGAGTGTTTCAAAACTGCTCTCTCAAAAGAAAGGTTCAACTCTGTTAGCTGAGTAGATACATCATGAAAAAGTTTCTGACATTGCTTCTATCTAGCTTTTATTGGAAGATATTTCCTTTATCACCGTATTCCTGAGATCTCTCCAAATGTCCACTTCCAGATACTACAAAAATAGTGTTTCAAACCTGCTCTATGAAAGGGACTGTTCACCACTGTGACTTCAATTGAAACATCCCAATGAAGCTTCTGAGAATGCTTCTGTCTAGAGTTTATATGAAGACAATCCCGTTTCCAACGAAATCCTCAAAGCTATCCAAATATCCTCTTGCAGATATTACAAAAAGAGTGTTTCAAAACTGCTCTATCAAAAGAAAGGTTCAACACTGTTAGTTGAGGGCGCACATCACAAATAAGTTTACTGAGAATGCTGCTGTCTGCTTTTTATATGTAATCCCGTTTCCAACGAAATCCTCAAAGCTAGACAAACATCCACTTGCAGATTCCACAAAAAGAGTGTTTCAAAACTGCTCTATCAAAAGAATGCTTCAACACTGTTAGTTGAGGGCGCACATCACAAATAAGTTTCTGAGAATGCTTCTGTCTAGTTTTCAGGGGAAGATATTTCCTTTTAAACCATATGCCTGAAAGCGCTCCAAATGTCCACATCCAGATACTACAAAAAGAGTGTTTCAAACCTGCTCTATGAAAGGGACTGTTCAACACTGTGACTTCAATTGAAACATCCCAATGAAGCTTCTGAGAATGCTACTGTCTAGAGTTTATATGAAGACAATCCCGTTTCCAACGAAATCCTCAAAGCTATCCAAATATCCTCTTGCAGATTTTACAAAAAGAGTGTTTCAAAACTGCTCTATCAAAAGAAAGGTTCAACACTGTTAGTTGAGGGCGCACATCACAAATAAGATACTGAGAATGCTTCTGTCTAGTTTTCAGGAGAAGATATTTCCCTTTTCACCATAGGCCTGAAAGCGCTCCAAATGTCCACATCCAGATACTATAAAAAGAGTGTTTCAATCCTGCTCTATGAAAGGGAATGTTCAACTCTGTGACTTGAATGCAAATATCACAAAGAAGATTCTGGGAATGCTGCTGTCTGCTTTTTATATGTAATCCCGTTTCCAACGAAATCCTCAAAGCTAGACAAATATCCACTTGCAGATTCCACAAAAAGAGTGTTTCAAAACTGCTCTCTCAAAGGAAAGGTTCAACTCTGTTAGCTGAGTAGATACATCATGAAAAAGTTTCTGACATTGCTTCTATCTAGCTTTTATTGGAAGATATTTCCTTTATCACCGTATTCCTGAGATCTCTCCAAATGTCCACTTCCAGATACTACAAAAAGAGTGTTTCAAACCTGCTCTATGAAAGGGACTGTTCAACACTGTGACTTCAATTGAAACATCCCAATGAAGCTTCTGAGAATGCTTCTGTCTAGAGTTTATATGAAGACAATCCCGTTTCCAAAGAAATCCTCAAAGCTATCCAAATATCCTCTTGCAGATATTACAAAAAGAGTGTTTCAAAACTGCTCTATCAAAAGAAAGCTTCAACACTGTTAGTTGAGGGCGCACATCACAAATAAGATTCTGAGAATGCTGCTGTCTGCTTTTTATATGTAATCCCGTTTCCAACGAAATCCTCAAAGCTAGACAAATATCCACTTGCAGATTCCACAAAAAGAGTGTTTCAAAACTGCTCTATCAAAAGAATGCTTCAACACTGTTAGTTGAGGGCGCACATCACAAATAAGTTTCTGAGAATGCTTCTGTCTAGTTTTCAGGGGAAGATATTTCCTTTTAAACCATAGGCCTGAAAGCGCTCAAATGTCCACATCCAGATACTACAAAAAGAGTGTTTCAAACCTGCTCTATGAAAGGGACTGTTCAACATTGTGACTTCAATTGAAACATCCCCATGATGCTTCTGAGAATGCTTCTGTCTAGATTTTATATGAAGACAATCCCGTTTCCACCGAAATCCTCAAAGCTATCCAAATATCCTCTTGCAGATATTACAAAAAGAGTGTTTCAAAACTGCTCTATCAAAAGAAAGGTTCAACACTGTTAGTTGAGGGCGCACATGACAAATAAGTTTCTGAGCATGCTTCTGTCTAGTTTTCAGGGGAAGATATTTCCTTTTTCACCATAGGCCTGAAAGCGCTCCAAATGTCCACATCCAGATACTACAAAAAGAGTGTTTCAAACCTGCTCTATGAAAGGGAATGTTCAACTCTGTGACTTGAATGCAAACATCACAAAGAAGTTTCTGGGAATGCTGCTGTCTGCTTTTTATATGTAATCCCGTTTCCAACGAAATCCTCAAAGCTAGACAAATATCCACTTGCAGATTCCACAAAAAGAGTGTTTCAAAACTGCTCTCTCAAAAGAAAGGTTCAACTCTGTTAGCTGAGTAGATACATCATGAAAAAGTTTCTGACATTGCTTCTATCTAGCTTTTATTGGAAGATATTTCCTTTATCACCATAGTCCTGAGAGCGCTCCACATGTCCACTTCCAGATACTACAAAAAGAGTGTTTCAAACCTGCTCTATGAAAGGGACTGTTCAACACTGTGACTTCAATTGAAACATCCCAATGAAGCTTCTGAGAATGCTTCTGTCTAGAGTTTATATGAAGACAATCCCGTTTCCAACGAAATCCTCAATGCTATCAAAATATCCTCTTGCAGATTTTACGAAAAGAGTGTTTCAAAACTGCTCTATCAAAAGAAAGCTTCAACACTGTTAGTTGAGGGCGCACATAACAAATAAGATTCTGAGAATTCTTCTGTCTAGTTTTCAGGAGAAGATATTTCCTTTTTCACCGTATTCCTGAGATCTCTCCAAATGTCCACTTCCAGATACTACAAAAAGAGTGTTTCATACCTGCTCTATGAAAGGGACTGTTCAACACTGTGACTTCAATTGAAACATCCCAATGAAGCTTCTGAGAATGCTGCTGTCTGCTTTTTATATGTAATCCCGTTTCCAACGAAATCCTCAAAGCTATCCAAATATCCTCTTGCAGATTTTACAAAAAGAGTGTTTCAAAACTGCTCTCTCAAAAGAAAGGTTCAACTGTGTTAGCTGAGTAGATACATCATGAAAAAGTTTCTGACATTGCTTCTATGTAGCTTTTATTGGAAGATATTTCCTTTTTCACCGTAGTCCTGAGAGCGCTCCAAATGTCCACTTCCAGATACTATAAAAAGAGTGTTTCAAACCTGCTCTATGAAAGGGACTGTTCAACACTGTGACTTCAATTGAAACATCCCAATGAAGCTTCTGAGAATGCTTCTTTCTAGAGTTTATATGAAGACAATCCCGTTTCCAACGAAATCCTCAAAGCTATCCAAATATTCTCTTGCAGATATTACAAAAAGAGTGTTTCAAAACTGCTCTATCAAAATAAAGCTTCAACACTGTTAGTTGAGGGCGCACATCACAAATAAGTTTCTGAGAATGCTGCTGTCTGCTTTTTATATGTAATCCCGTTTCCAACGAAATCCTCAAAGCTAGACAAATATCCACTTGCAGATTCCACAAAACGAGTGTTTCAAAACTGCTCTATCAAAAGAATGCTTCAACACTGTTAGTTGAGGGCGCACATCACAAATAAGTTTCTGAGAATGCTTCTGTCTAGTTTTCAGGGGAAGATATTTCCTTTTTCACCATAGGCCTGAAAGCGCTCCAAATGTCCACATCCAGATACTACAAAAAGAGTGTTTCAAACCTGCTCTATGAAAGGGACTGTTCAACACTGTGACTTCAATTGAAACATCCCAATGAAGCATCTGAGAATGCTTTCTGTCTAGAGTTTATATGAAGACAATCCCGTTTCCAACGAAATCCTCAAAGCTATCCAAATATCCTCTTGCAGATTTTACAAAAAGAGTGTTTCAAAACTGCTCTATCAAAAGAAAGCTTCAACACTGTTAGTTGAGGGCGCACATCACAAATAAGATTCTGAGAATGCTTCTGTCTAGTTTTCAGGGGAAGATATTTCCTTTTTCACCATAGGCCTGGAAGCGCTCCAAATGTCCACATCCAGATACTACAAAAAGAGTGTTTCAAACCTGCTCTATGAAAGAGAATGTTCAACTCTGTGACTTGAATGCAAACATCACAAAGAAGTTTCTGGGAATGCTGCTGTCTGCTTTTTATATGTAATCCCGTTTCCAACGAAATCCTCAAACCTAGACAAATATCCACTTGCAGATTCCACAAAAAGAGTGTTTCAAAACTGCTCTCTCAAAAGAAAGGTTAAATTCTCGTTAGCTGAGTAGATACATCATGAAAAATTTTCTGACATTGCTTCTATCTAGCTTTATTTGGAAGATATTTCCTTTTTCACCGGTAGTCCTGAAAACGCTCCAAATGTCAACTTCCAGATACTACAAAAAGAGTGTTTCAAACATGATCTATGAAAGGGACTGTTCAACACTGTGACTTCAATTGAAACATCCCAATGAAGCTTCTGAGAATGCTTCTGTCTAGAGTTTATATGAAGACAATCCCGTTTCCAACGAAATCCTCAAAGCTATCCAAATATCCTCTTGCAGATATTACAAAAAGAGTGTTTCAAAACTGCTCTATCAAAAGAAAGGTTCAACACTGTTAGTTGAGGGCGCACATCACAAATAAGTTTACTGAGAATGCTGCTGTCTGCTTTTTATATGTAATCCCGTTTCCAACGAAATCCTCAAAGCTAGACAAATATCCACTTGCAGATTCCACAAAAAGAGTGTTTCAAAACTGCTCTGTCAAAAGAAAGCTTCAACACTGTTGGTTGAGGGCGCACATCACAAATAAGTTTCTGAGAATGCTTCTATCTAGCTTTTATTGGAAGATATTTCCTTTTTCACCGCAGTCCTGAGAGCGCTCCAAATGTCCACTTCCAGATACTACAAAAAGAGTGTTTCACACCTGCTCTATGAAAGGGACTGTTCAACACTGTGACTTCAATTGAAACATCCGAATGAAGCTTCTGAGAATGCTTCTGTCTAGAGTTTATATGAAGACAATCCCGTTTCCAATGAAATCCTCAAAGCTATCCAAATATCCTGTTGCAGATTTTACAAAAAGTGTGTTTCAAAACTGCTCTATCAAAAGAAAGCTTCAACACTGTTAGTTGAGGGCGCACATCACAAATAAGATTCTGAGAATGCTTCTGTCTAGTTTTCAGGGGAAGATATTTCCTTTTTCACCATAGGCCTGAAAGCGCTCCAAATGTCCACATCCAGATACTACAAAAAGAGTGTTTCAAACCTGCTCTATGAAAGGGAATGTTCAACTCTGTGACTTGAATGCAAACATCACAAAGAAGTTTCTGGGAATGCTGCTGTCTGCTTTTTATATGTAATCCCGTTTCCAACGAAATCCTCAAAGCTAGACAAATATCCACTTGCAGATTCCACAAAAAGAGTGTTTCAAAACTGCTCTCTCAAAAGAAAGGTTCAACTCTTTTAGCTGGGTAGATACATCATGAAAAAGTTTCTGATATTGCTTCTATCTAGCTTTTATTGGAAGATATTTCCTTTTTCACCGTAGTCTTGAGAGCGCTCCAAATGTCCACTTCCAGATATTACAAAAACAGTGTTTCAAACCTGCTCTATGAAAGGGACTGTTCAACACTGTGACTTCAATTGAAACATCCCAATGAAGCTTCTGAGAATGCTGCTGTCTGCTTTGTATAATTAATCCCGTTTCCAACGAAATCCTCAAAGCTATCCAAATATCCTCTTGCAGATATTACAAAAAGAGTGTTTCAAAACTGCTCTATCAAAAGAAAGCTTCAACACTGTTAGTTGAGGGCGCACATCACAAATAAGTTTCTGAGAATGCTGCTGTCTGCTTTTTATATGTAATCCCGTTTCCAACGAAATCCTCAAAGCTAGACAAATATCCACTTGCAGATTCCACAAAAAGAGTGTTTCAAAACTGCTCTATCAAAAGAATGCTTCAACACTGTTAGTTGAGGGCGCACATCACAAATAAGTTTCTGAGAATGCTTCTGTCTAGTTTTCAGGGGAAGATATTTCCTTTTAAACCATAGGCTTAAAGCGCTCCAAATGTCCACATCCAGATACTACAAAAAGAGTGTTTCAAACCTGCTCTATGAAAGGGACTGTTCAACACTGTGACTTCAATTGAAACATCCCAATGACGCTTCTGAGAATGCTTCTGTCTAGAGTTTATATGAAGACAATCCCGTTTCCAACGAAATCCTCAAAGCTATCCAAATATCCTCTTGCAGATTTTACAAAAAGAGTGTTTCAAAACTGCTCTATCAAAAGAAAGCTTCAACACTGTTAGTTGAGGGCGCACATCACAAATAAGATTCTAAGAATTCTTCTGTCTAGTTTTCAGGGGAAGATATTTCCTTTTTTACCATAGGCCTGAAAGCGCTCCAAATGTCCACATCCAGATACTACAAAAAGAGTGTTTCAAACCTGCTGTATGAAAGGGAATGTTCAACTCTGTGACTTGAATGCAAACATCACAAAGAAGTTACCGGGAATGCTGCTGTCTGCTGTTTATATGTAATCCCGTTTCCAACGAAATCCTCAAAGCTAGACAAATATCCACTTGCAGATTCCACAAAAAGAGTGTTTCAAAACTGCTCTCTCAAAGGAAGGTTCAACTCTGTTAGCTGAGTAGATACATCATGAAAAAGTTTCTGACATTGCTTCTATCTAGCTTTTATTGGAAGATATTTCCTTTATCACCGTATTCCTGAGATCTCTCCAAATGTCCACTTCCAGATACTACAAAAAGAGTGTTTCAAACCTGCTCTATGAAAGGGACTGTTCAACACTGTGACTTCAATTGAAACATCCCAATGAAGCTTCTGAGAATGCTGCTGTCTGCTTTGTATAATTAATCCCGTTTCCAACGAAATCCTCAAAGCTATCCAAATATCCTCTTGCAGATATTACAAAAAGAGTGTTTCAAAACTGCTCTATCAAAAGAAAGCTTCAACACTGTTAGTTGAGGGCGCACATCACAAATAAGTTTCTGAGAATGCTGCTGTCTGCTTTTTATAATTAATCCCGTTTCCAACGAAATCCTCAAAGCTATCCAAATATCCTCTTGCAGATATTCAAAAAGAGTGTTTCAAAACCGCTCTATCAAAAGAAAGCTTCAACACTGTTAGTTGAGGGCGCACATCACAAATAAGTTTCTGAGAATGCTTCTGTCTAGTTTTCAGGGGAAGATATTTCCTTTTAAACCATAGGCCTGAAAGCGCTCCAAATGTCCACATCCAGATACTACAAAAAGAGTGTTTCAAACCTGCTCTATGAAAGGGACTGTTCAACACTGTGACTTCAATTGAAACATCCCAATGATGCTTCTGAGAATGCTTCTGTCTAGAGTTTATATGAAGACAATCCCGTTTCCAACGAAATCCTCAAAGCTATCCAAATATCCTCTTGCAGATTTTACAAAAAGAGTGTTTCAAAACTGCTCTATCAAAAGAAAGCTTCAACTCTGTTAGTTGAGGGCGCACATCACAAATAAGATTCTGAGAATGCTTCTGTCTAGTTTTCAGGGGAAGATATTTCCTTTTTCACCATAGGCCTGAAAGCGCTCCAAATGTCCACATCCAGATACTTCAAAAAGAGTGTTACAAACCTGCTCTATGAAAGGGAATGTTCAACTCTCTGACTTGAATGCAAACATCACAAAGAAGTTACTGGGGAATGCTGCTGTCTGCTTTTTATGTGTAATCCCGTTTCCAACGAAATCCTCAAAGCCAGACAAATATCCACTTGCAGTTTCCACAAAAAGAGTGTTTCAAAACTGCTCTCTCAAAAGAAATTTTCAACTCTGTTAGCTGAGTAGATACATCATGAAAAAGTTTCTGACATTGCTTCTATCTAGCTTTTATTGGAAGATATTTCCTTTTTCACCGTAGTCATGAGAGCGCTCCAAATGTCCACTTCCAGATACTACAAAAAGAGTGTTTCAAACCTGCTCTATGAAAGGGAATGTTCAACACTGTGACTTCAATTGAAACATCCCAATGAAGCTTCTGAGAATACTTCTGTCTAGAGTTTATATGAAGACAATCCTGTTTCCAACGAAATCCTCAAAGCTATCCAAATATCCTCTTGCAGATTTTACAAAAAGAGTGTTTCAAAACTGCTCTATCAAAAGAAAGCTTCAACACTGTTAGTTGAGGGCGCACATCACAAATAAGATTCTGAGAATGCTTCTGTCTAGTTTTCAGGGGAAGATATTTCCTTTTTCACCATAGGCCTGAAAGCGCGCCAAATGTCCACATCCAGATACTACAAAAAGAGTGTATCAAACCTGCTCTGTGAAAGGGAATGTTCAACTCTGTGACTTGAATGCAAACATCACAAAGAAGTTTCTGGGAATGCTGCTGTCTGCTTTTTATATGTAATCCCGTTTCCAACGAAATCCTCAAAGCTAGACAAATATCCACTTGCAGATTCCACAAAAAGAGTGTTTCAAAACTGTTCTCTCAAAAGAAAGGTTCAACTCTGTTAGCTGAGTAGATACATCATGAAAAAGTTTCTGACATTGCTTCTATCTAGCTTTTATTGGAAGATATTTCCATTTTCACCGTAGTCCTGAGAGCGCTCCAAATGTCCACTTCCAGATACTACAAAAAGAGTGTTTCAAACCTGTTCTATGAAAGGAACTGTTCAACACTGTGACTTCAATTGAAACATCCCAATGAAGCTTCTGAGAATGCTGCTGTCTGCTTTGTATAATTAATCCCGTTTCCAACGAAATCCTCAAAGCTATCCAAATATCCTCTTGCAGATATTACAAAAAGAGTGTTTCAAAACTGCTCTATCAAAAGAAAGCTTCAACACTGTTAGTTGAGGGCGCACATCACAAATAAGTTTCTGAGAATGCTGCTGTCTGCTTTTTATATGTAATCCCGTTTCCAACGAAATCCTCAAAGCTAGACAAATATCCACTTGCAGATTCCACAAAAAGAGTGTTTCAAAACTGCTCTATCAAAAGAAAGCTTCAACACTGTTAGTTGAGGGCGCACATCACAAATAAGTTTCTGAGAATGCTTCTGTCTAGTTTTCAGGGGAAGATATTTCCTTTTTCACCATAGGCCTGAAAGCGCTCCAAATGTCCACATCCAGATACTAAAAAAAGAGTGTTTCAAACCTGCTCTATGAAAGGGACTGTTCAACACTGTGACTTCAATTGAAACATCCCAATGAAGCTTCTGAGAATGCTTCTGTCTAGAGTTTATATGAAGACAATCCCGTTTCCAACGAAATCCTCAAAGCTATCCAAATATCCTCTTGCAGATTTTACAAAAAGAGTGTTTCAAAACTGCTCTATCAAAAGAAAGCTTCAACACTGTTAGTTGAGGGCGCACATCACAAATAAGATTCTGAGAATGCTTCTGTCTAGTTTTCAGGGGAAGATATTTCCGTTTTCACCATAGGCCTGAAAGCGCTCCAAATGTCCACATCCAGATACTACAAAAAGAGTGTTTCAAACCTGCTCTATGAAAGGGAATGTTCAACTCTGTGACTTGAATGCAAACATCACACAGAAGTTTACTGGGAATGCTGCTGTCTGCTTTTTATATGTAATCCCGTTTCCAACGAAATCCTCAAAGCTAGACAAATATCTACCTGCAGATCCAACAAAAAGAGTGTTTCAAAACTGCTCTCTCAAAAAAAAGGTTCAACTCTGTTAGCTGAGTAGATACATCATGAAAAAGTTTCTGACATTGCTTCTATCTAGCTTTATTTGGAAGATATTTCCTTTTTCACCGTAGTCCTGAGAGCGCTCCAAATGTCCACTTCCAGATACTACAAAAAGATTGTTTCAAACATGCTCTATGAAAGGGACTGTTCAACACTGTGACTTCAATTGAAACATCCCAATGAAGCTTCTGAGAATGCTTCTGTCTAGATTCTATATGAAGACAATCCCGTTTCCAACGAAATCCTCAAAGCTATCCAAATATCCTCTTGCAGATTTTACAAAAAGAGTGTTTCAAAACTGCTCTATCAAAAGAAAAGTTCCACACTGTTAGTTGAGGGCGCACATCACAAATAAGTTTGCTGAGAATGCTGCTGTCTGCTTTTTATATGTAATCCCGTTTCCAACGAAATCCTCAAAGCTATCCAAATATCCTCTTGCAGATATTACAAAAAGAGTGTTTCAAAACTGCTCTATCAAAAGAAAGGTTCAACACTGTTAGTTGAGGGCGCACATCACAAATAAGTTTCTGAGAATGCTTCTGTCTAGTTTTCAGGGGAAGATATTTCCTTTTTCACCATAGGCCTGAAAGCGCTCCAAATGTCCACATCCAGATACTACAAAAAGAGTGTTTCAAACCTGCTCTACGAAAGGGAATGTTTCAACTCTCTGACTTGAATGCAAACATCACAAAGAAGTTACTGGGAATGCTTCAGTCTAGAGTTTATATGAAGACAATCCCGTTTCCAACGAAATCCTCAAAGCTATCCAAATATCCTCTTGCAGATTTTACAAAAAGAGTGTTTCAAAACTGCTCTATCAAAAGAAAGCTTCAACACTGTTAGTTGAGGGCGCACATCACAAATAAGATTCTGAGAATGCTTCTGTCTAGTTTTCAGGGGAAGATATTTCCTTTTTCACCTTAGGCCTGAAAGCGCTGCAAAAGTCCACATCCAGATACTACAAAAAGAGTGTTTCAAACCTGCTCTATGAAAGGGAATGTTCAACTCTGTGACTTGAATGCAAACATCACAAAGAAGTTTCTGGGAATGCTGCTGTCTGCTTTTTATATGTAATCCCGTTTCCAACGAAATCCTCAAAGCTAGACAAATATCCACTTGCAGATTCCACAAAACGAGTGTTTCAAAACTGCTCTCTCAAATGAAGGTTCAACTCTGTTAGCTGAGTAGATACATCATGAAAAAGTTTCTGACATTGCTTCTATCTAGCTTTTATTGGAAGATATTTCCTTTTTCACCGCACTCCTGAGAGCGTTCCAAATGTCCACTTCAAGATACTACAAAAAGAGTGTTTCAATCCTGCTCTATGAAAGGGACTGTTCAACACTGTGACTTTAATTGAAACATCCCAATGAAGCTTCTGAGAATGCTTCTGTCTAGAGTTGATATGAAGACAATCCCGTTTCCAACGAAATCCTCAAAGCTATCAAAATATCCTCTTGCAGATTTTACGGAAAGAGGGTTTCAAAACTGCTCTATCAAAAGAAAGCTTCAACACTGTTAGTTGAGGGCGCACATCACAAATAAGATTCTGAGAATGCTGCTGTCTGCTTTTTATATGTAATCCCGTTTCCAACGAAATCCTCAAAGCTATCCAAATATCCTCTTGCAGATATTACAAAAAGAGTGTTTCAAAACTGCTCTATCAAAAGAAAGGTTCAACACTGTTAGTTGAGGGCGCACATCACAAATAAGTTTCTGAGAATGCTTCTGTCTAGTTTTCAGGGGAAGATATTTCCTTTTAAATCATAGGCCTGAAAGCGCTCCAAATGTCCACATCCAGATACTACAAAAAGAGTGTTTCAAATCTGCTCTATGAAAGGGACTGTTCAACACTGTGACTTCAATTGAAACATCCCAATGAAGCTTCTGAGAATGCTTCTGTCTAGAGTTTATATGAAGACAATCCCGTTTCCAACGAAAATCCTGAAAGCTATCCAAATATCCTCTTGCAGATATTACAAAAAGAGTGTTTCAAAACTGCTCTATCAAAAGAAAGCTTCAACACTGTTAGTTGAGGGCGCACATCACAAATAAGTTTCTGAGAATGCTTCTGTCTACTTTTCAGGGGAAGATATTTCCTTTTTCACCATAGGCCTGAAAGCGCTCCAAATGTCCACATCCAGATACTACAAAAAGAGTGTTTCAAACCTGCTCTATGAAAGGGAATGTTCAACTCTGTGACTTGAATGCAAACATCACAAAGAAGTTTCTGGGAATACTGCTGTCTGCTTTTTATATGTAATCCCGTTTCCAACGAAATCCACAAAGCTAGACAAATATCCACTTGCAGATTCCACAAAAAGAGTGTTTCAAAACTGCTCTCTCAAAAGAAAGGTTCAACTCTTTTAGCTGAGTAGATACATCATGAAAAAGTTTCTGACATTGCTTCTATCTAGCTTTTATTGGAAGATA
This sequence comes from Homo sapiens, assembly GCF_000001405.40. Lineage (NCBI taxonomy): Eukaryota > Metazoa > Chordata > Mammalia > Primates > Hominidae > Homo > Homo sapiens. The sequence goes on along the minus strand of NC_000002.12, from coordinate 93,792,890 downwards.
TTTCCTTTTTCACCGCACTCCTGAGAGCGCTCCAAATGTCCACTTCCAGATACTACAAAAAGAGTGTTTCAAACCTGCTCTATGAAAGGGACTGTTCAACACTGTGACTTTAATTGAAACATCCCAATGAAGCTTCTGAGAATGCTTCTGTCTAGAGTTTATATGAAGACAATCCCGTTTCCAACGAAATCCTCAAAGCTATCAAAATATCCTCTTGCAGATTTTACGAAAAGAGTGTTTCAAAACTGCTCTATCAAAAGAAAGGTTCTACACTGTTAGTTGAGGGCGCACATCACAAATAAGTTTCTGAGAATGCTTCTGTCTAGTTTTCAGGGGAAGATATTTCCTTTTTCACCATAGGCCTGAAAGCGCTCCAAATGTCCACATACAGATACTACAAAAAGAGTGTTTCAAACCTGCTCTATGAAAGGGAATGTTCAACTCTGTGACTTGAATGCAAACATCACAAAGAAGTTACTGGGAATGCTGCTGTCGTGCTTTTTATATGTAATCCCGTTTCCAACGAAATCCTCAAAGCTAGACAAATATCCACTTGCAGATTCCACAAAAAGAGTGTTTCAAAACTGCTCTCTCAAAAGAAAGGTTCAACTCTGTTAGCTGAGTAGATACATCATGAAAAAGTATCTGACATTGCTTCTATCTAGCTTTTATTGGAAGATATTTCCTTTATCACCGTATTCCTGAGATCTCTCCAAATGTCCACTTCCAGATACTACAAAAAGAGTGTTTCAAACCTGCTCTATGAAAGGGACTGTTCAACACTGTGACTTCAATTGAAACATCCCAATGAAGCTTCTGAGAATGCTTATGTCTAGAGTTTATATGAAGACAATCCCGTTTCCAACGAAATCCTGAAAGCTATCCAAATATCCTCTTGCAGATATTACAAAAAGAGTGTTTCAAAACTGCTCTATCAAAAGAAAGCTTCAACACTGTTAGTTGAGGGCGCCCATCACAAATAAGTTTCGGAGAATGCTTAGCTGTCTGCTTTTTATATGTAATCCCGTTTCCAACGAAATCCTCAAAGCTAGACAAATATCCACTTGCAGATTCCACAAAAAGAGTGTTTCAAAACTGCTCTATCAAAAGAAAGCTTCAACACTGTTAGTTGAGGGCGCACATCACAAATAAGTTTCTGAGAATGCTTCTGTCTAGTTTTCAGGGGAAGATATTTCCTTTTAAACCATAGGCCTGAAAGCGCTCCAAATGTCCACATCCAGATACTACAAAAAGAGTGTTTCAAATCTGCTCTATGAAAGGGACTGTTCAACACTGTGACTTCAATTGAAACATCCCAATGAAGCTTCTGAGAATGCTTCTCTCTAGAGTTTATATGAAGACAATCCCGTTTCCAATGAAATCCTCAGAGCTATACAAATATCCTCTTGCAGATTTTACAAAAAGAGTGTTTCAAAACTGCTCTATCAAAAGAAAGCTTCAACACTGTTAGTTGAGGGCGCACATCACAAATAAGATTCTGAGAATGCTTCTGTCTAGTTTTCAGGGGAAGATATTTCCTTTTTCACCATAAGCCTGAAAGCGCTCCAAATGTCCACATCCAGATACTACAAAAAGAGTGTTTCAAACCTGCTCTATGAAAGGGAAAGTTCAACTGTGTGACTTGAATGCAAACATCACAAAGAAGTTTCTGGGAATGCTACTGTCTGCTTTTTATATGTAATCCCGTTTCCAACGAAATCCTCTAAGCTAGACAAATATCCACTTGCAGATTCCACAAAACGAGTGTTTCAAAACTGCTCTCTCAAATGAAGGTTCAACTCTGTTAGCTGAGTAGATACATCATGAAAAAGTTTCTGACATTGCTTCTATGTAGCTTTTATTGGAAGATATTTCCTTTTTCACCGCAGTCCTGAGAGCGTTCCAAATGTCCACTTCCAGATACTACAAAAAGAGTGTTTCAAACCTCCTCTATGAAAGGGACTGTTCAACACTGTGACTTCAATTGAAACATCCCAATGAAGCTTCTGAGAATGCTTATGTCTAGAGTTTATATGAAGACAATCCCGTTTCCAACGAAATCCTGAAAGCTATCCAAATATCCTCTTGCAGATATTACAAAAAGAGTGTTTCAAAACTGCTCTATCAAAAGAAAGCTTCAACACTGTTAGTTGAGGGCGCCCATCACAAATAAGTTTCGGAGAATGCTTAGCTGTCTGCTTTTTATATGTAATCCCGTTTCCAACGAAATCCTCAAAGCTATCCAAATATCCTCTTGCAGATATTACAAAAAGAGTGTTTCAAAACTGCTCTATCAAAAGAAAGGTTCAACACTGTTAGTTGAGGGCGCACATCACAAATAAGTTTCTGAGAATGCTTCTGTCTAGTTTTCAGGGGAAGATATTTCCTTTTAAACCATAGGCCTGAAAGCGCTCCAAATGTCCACATCCAGATACTACAAAAAGAGTGTTTGAAACCTGCTCTATGAAAGGGACTGTTCAACACTGTGACTTCAATTGAAACATCCCAATGAAGCTTCTGAGAATGCTTCTGTCTAGAGTTTATATGAAGACAATCCCGTTTCCAACGAAATCCTCAAAGCTATCCAAATATCCTCTTGCAGATATTACAAAAAGACTGTTTCAAAACTGCTCTATCAAAAGAAAGGTTCAACACTGTTAGTTGAGGGCGCACATCACAAATAAGTTTCTGAGAATGCTTCTGTCTAGTTTTCAGGGGAACATATTTCCTTTTTCACCATAGGCCTGAAAGCGATCCAAATGTCCACATCCATATACTACAAAAAGACTGTTTCAAACCTGCTCTATGAAAGGGAATGTTCAACTCTGTGACTTGAATGCAAACATCACAAAGAAGTTTCTGGGAATGCTGCTGTCTGCTTTTTATATGTAATCCCGTTTCCAACGAAATCCTCAAAGCTAGACAAATATCCACTTGCAGATTCCACAAAAAGAGTGTTTCAAAACTGCTCTCTCAAAGGAAGGTTCAACTCTGTTAGCTGAGTAGATACATCATGAAAAAGTTTCTGACATTGCTTCTATCTAGCTTTTATTGGAAGATATTTCCTTTTTCACCGTAGTCCTGAGAGCGCTCCAAATGTCCACTTCCAGATACTACAAAAAGAGTGTTTCAAACCTGCTCTATGAAAGGGACTGTTCAACACTGTGACTTCAATTGAAACATCCCAATGAAGCTTCTGAGAATGCTTCTGTCTAGAGTTTATATGAAGACAATCCCGTTTCCAACGAAATCCTCAAAGCTATCCAAATATCCTCTTGCAGATATTACAAAAAGAGTGTTTCAAAACTGCTCTATCAAAAGAAAGGTTCAACACTGTTAGTTGAGGGCGCACATCACAAATAAGTTTACTGAGAATGCTGCTGTCTGCTTTTTATATGTAATCCCGTTTCCAACGAAATCCTCAAAGCTAGACAAATATCCACGTGCAGATTCCACAAAAAGAGTGTTTCAAAACTGCTCTATCAAGAGAAAGCTTCAACACTGTTAGTTGAGGGCGCACATCACAAATAAGTTTCTGAGAATGCTTCTGTCTAGTTTTCAGGGGAAGATATTTCCTTTTAAACCATAGGCCTGAAAGCGCTCCAAATGTCCACATCCAGATACTACAAAAAGAGTGTTTCAAACCTGCTCTATGAAAGGGACTGTTCAACACTGTGACTTCAATTGAAACATCCTAATGACGCTTCTGAGAATGCTACTGTCTAGAGTTTATATGAAGACAATCCCATTTCCACCGAAATCCTCAAAGCTATCCAAATATCCTCTTGCAGATTTTACAAAAAGAGTGTTTCAAAACTGCTCTATCAAAAGAAAGCTTCAACACTGTTAGTTGAGGGCGCGCATCACAAATAAGTTTCTGAGAATTCTTCTGTCTAGTTTTCAGGAGAAGATATTTCCTTTTTCACCATAGGCCTGAAAGCGCTCCAAATGTCCACATCCAGATACTATAAAAAGAGTGTTTCAAACCTGCTCTCTGAAAGGGAATGTTCAACTCTGTGACTTGAATGCAAACATCACAAACAAGATTCTGGGAATGCTGCCGTCTGCTTTTTATATGTAATCCCGTTTCCAACGAAATCCTCAAAGCTAGGCAAATATCCACTTGCAGATTCCACAAAAAGAGTGTTTCAAAACTGCTCTCTCAAAGGAAGGTTCAACTCTGTTAGCTGAGTAGATACATCATGAAAAAGTTTCTGACATTGCTTCTATCTAGCTTTTATTGGAAGATATTTCCTTTTTCACCGTAGTCCTGAGAGCGCTCCAAATGTCCACTTCCAGATACTACAAAAAGAGTGTTTCAAACCTGCTCTATGAAAGGGACTGTTCAACACTGTGACTTCAATTGAAACATCCCAATGAAGCTTCTGAGAATGCTTCTGTCTAGATTCTATATGAAGACAATCCCGTTTCCAACGAAATCCTCAAAGCTATCCAAATATCCTCTTGCAGATTTTACAAAAAGAGTGTTTCAAAACTGCTCTATCAAAAGAAAAGTTCCACACTGTTAGTTGAGGGCGCACATCACAAATAAGTTTGCTGAGAATGCTGCTGACTGCTTTTTATATGTAATCCCGTTTCCAACGAAATCCTCAAAGCTAGAAAAATATCCAGATGCAGATTCCACAAAAAGAGTGTTTCAAAACTGCTCTATCAAAAGAAAGCTTCAACACTGTTAGTTGAGGGCGCACATCACAAATAAGTTTCTGAGAATGCTTCTGTCTAGTTTTCAGGGGAAGATATTTCCTTTTAAACCATAGGCCTGAAAGCGCTCCAAATGTCCACATCCAGATACTACAAAAAGAGTGTTTCAAACCTGCTCTATGAAAGGGACTGTTCAACACTGTGACTTCAATTGAAACATCCCAATGACGCTTCTGAGAATGCTTCTGCCTAGAGTTTATATGAAGACAATCCCGTTTCCAACGAAATCCTCAAAGCTATCCAAATATCCTCTTGCAGATATTACAAAAAGAGTGTTTCAAAACTGCTCTATCAAAAGAAAGCTTCAACACTGTTAGTTGAGGGCGCACATCACAAATAAGTTTCTGAGAATGCTTCTGTCTAGTTTTCAGGGGAAGATATTTCCTTTTTCACCATAGGCCTGAAAGCGCTCCAAATGTCCACATCCAGATACTACAAAAAGAGTGTTTCAAACCTGCTCTATGAAAGGGAATGTTCAACTCTGTGACTTGAATGCAAACATCACAAAGTAGTTACTGGGAATGCTGCTGTCTGCTTTTTATATGTAATCCCGTTTCCAACGAAATCCTCAAAGCTAGACAAATATCCACCTGCAGATTCCACAAAAAGAGTGTTTCAAAACTGCTCTCTCAAAAGAAAGGTTCAATTCTGTTAGCTGAGTAGATACCTCATGAAAAATTTTCTGACATTGCTTCTATGTAGCTTTTATTGGAAGATATTTCCTTTTTCACCATAGTCCTGAGAGCGCTCCAAATGTCCACTTCCAGATACTACAAAAAGAGTGTTTCAAACCTGTTCTATGAAAGGAACTGTTCAACACTGTGACTTCAATTGAAACATCCCGATGAAGCTTCTGAGAATGCTTCTGTCTAGAGTTTATATGAAGACAATCCCGTTTCCAACGAAATCCTCAAAGCTATCCAAATATCCTCTTGCAGATATTACAAAAAGAGTGTTTCAAAACGGCTCTATCAAAAGAAAGCTTCAACACTGTTAGTTGAGGGTGCACATCACAAATAAGTTTCTGAGAATGCTGCTGTCTGCTTTTTATATGTAATCCCGTTTCCAACGAAATCCTCAAAGCTAGACAAATATCCACTTGCAGATTCCACAAAAAGAGTGTTTCAATACTGCTCTATGAAAAGAATGCTTCAACACTGTTAGTTGAGGGCGCACATCACAAATAAGTTTCTGAGAATGCTTCTGTCTAGTTTTCAGGGGAAGATATTTCCTTTTTCACCATAGGCCTGAAAGCGCTCTAAATGTCCACATCCAGATACTACAAAAAGAGTGTTTCAAACCTGCTCTATGAAAGGGACTGTTCAACACTGTGACTTCAATTGAAACATCCCAATGAAGCTTCTGAGAATGCTTCTGTCTAGAGTTTATATGAAGACAATCCCGTTTCCAACGAAATCCTCAAAGCTATCCAAATATCCTCTTGCAGATTTTACGAAAAGAGTGTTTCAAAACTGCTTTATCAAAAGAAAGCTTCAACACTGTTAGTTGAGGGCGCACATCACAAATAAGATTCTGAGAATGCTTCTGTCTAGTTTTCAGGGGAAGATATTTCCTTTTTCACCATAGGCCTGAGAGCGCTCCAAATGTCCACATCCAGATACTACAAAAAGAGTGTTTCAAACCTGCTCTATGAAAGGGAATGTTCAAATCTGTGACTTGAATGCAAACATCACAAAGAAGTTTCTGGGAATACTGCTGTCTGCTTTTTATATGTAATCCCGTTTCCAACGAAATCCTCAAAGCTAGACAAATATCCACTTGCAGATTCCACAAAAAGAGTGTTTCAAAACTGCTCTCTCAAAAGAAAGGTTCAACTCTGTTAGCTGAGTAGATACATCATGAAAAAGTTTCTGACATTGCTTCTATCTAGCTTTTATTGGAAGATATTTCCTTTTTCACCGTATTCCTGAGAGCGCTCCAAATGTCCACTTCCAGATACTACAAAAAGAGTTTTTCAAACCTGCTCTATGAAAGGGACTGTTCAACACTGTGACTTCAATTGAAACATCCCAATGAAGCTTCTGAGAATGCTGCTGTCTGCTTTGTATAATTAATCCCGTTTCCAACGAAATCCTCAAAGCTATCCAAATATCCTCTTGCAGATATTACAAAAAGAGTGTTTCAAAACTGCTCTATCAAAAGAAAGCTTCAACACTGTTAGTTGAGGGCGCACATCACAAATAAGTTTCTGAGAATGCTGCTGTCTGCTTTTTATATGTAATCCCGTTTCCAACGAAATCCTCAAAGCTAGACAAATATCCACTTGCAGATTCCACAAAAAGAGTGTTTCAAAACTGCTCTATCAAAAGAATGCTTCAACACTGTTAGTTGAAGGCGCACATCACAAATAAGTTTCTGAGAATGCTTCTGTCTAGTTTTCAGGGGAAGATATTTCCTTTTTCACCATAGGCCTGAAAGCGCTCCAAATGTCCACATCCAGATACTACAAAAAGAGTGTTTCAAACCTGCTCTATGAAAGGGACTGTTCAACACTGTGACTTCAATTGAAACATCCCAATGAAGCTTCTGAGAATGCTTCTGTCTAGAGTTTATATGAAGACAATCCCGTTTCCAACGAAATCCTCAAAGCTATCCAAATATCCTCTTGCAGATTTTACAAAAAGAGTGTTTCAAAACTGCTCTATCAAAAGAAAGCTTCAACACTGTTAGTTGAGGGCGCACATCACAAATAAGATTCTGAGAATGCTTCTGTCTAGTTTTCAGGGGAAGATATTTCCTTTTTCACCATAGGCCTGAAAGCGCTCCAAATGTCCACATCCAGATACTACAAAAAGAGTGTTTCAAACCTGCTCTATGAAAGGGAATGTTCAACTCTGTGACTTGAATGGAAACATCACAAACAAGTTACTGGGAATGCTGCTGTCTGCTTTTTATATGTAATCCCGTTTCCAACGAAATCCTCAAAGCTAGACAAATATCCACTTGCAGATTCCACAAAAAGAGTGTTTCAAAACTGCTCTCTCAAAAGAAAGGTTCAACTCTGTTAGCTGAGTAGATACATCATGAAAAAGTTTCTGACATTGCTTCTATCTAGCTTTTATTGGAAGATATTTCCTTTATCACCGTATTCCTGAGATCTCTCCAAATGTCCACTTCCAGATACTACAAAAAGAGTGTTTCAAACCTGCTCTATGAAAGGGACTGTTCAACACTGTGACTTTAATTGAAACATCCCAATGAAGCTTCTGAGAATGCTGCTGTCTGCTTTGTATAATTAATCCCGTTTCCAACGAAATCCTCAAAGCTATCCAAATATCCTCTTGCAGATATTACAAAAAGAGTGTTTCAAAACTGCTCTATCAAAAGAAAGCTTCAACACTGTTAGTTGAGGGCGCACATCACAAATAAGTTTCTGAGAATGCTGCTGTCTGCTTTTTATATGTAATCCCGTTTCCAACGAAATCCTCAAAGCTAGACAAATATCCACTTGCAGATTCCACAAAAAGAGTGTTTCAAAACTGCTCTATCAAAAGAAAGCTTCAACACTGTTAGTTGAGGGCGCACATCACAAATAAGTTTCTGAGAATGCTTCTGTCTAGTTTTCAGGGGAAGATATTTCCTTTTAAACCATAGGCCTGAAAGCGCTCCAAATGTCCACATCCAGATACTACAAAAAGAGTGTTTCAAATCTGCTCTATGAAAGGGACTGTTCAACACTGTGACTTCAATTGAAACATCCCAATGAAGCTTCTGAGAATGCTTCTGTCTAGAGTTTATATGAAGACAATCCCGTTTCCAACGAAATCCTCAAAGCTATCCAAATATCCTCTTGCAGATATTACAAAAAGAGTGTTTCAAAACTGCTCTATCAAAAGAAAGCTTCAACACTGTTAGTTGAGGGCGCACATCACAAATAAGTTTCTGAGAACGCTTCTGTCTAGTTTTCAGGGGAAGATATTTCCTTTTTCACCATAGGCCTGAAAGCGCTCCAAATGTCCACATCCAGATACTACAAAAAGAGTGTTTCAAACCTGCTCTATGAAAGGGAATGTTCAACTCTGTGACTTGAATGCAAACGTCACAAAGAAGTTTCTGGGAATGCTTCTGTCTAGAGTTTATATGAAGACAATCCCGTTTCCAAAGAAATCCTCAAAGCTATCCAAATATCCTCTTGCAGATTCCACAAAAAGAGTGTTTCAAAACTGCTCTCTCAAAAGAAAGGTTCAACTCTGTTAGCTGAGTAGATACATCATGAAAAAGTTTCTGACATTGCTTCTATCTAGCTTTTATTGGAAGATATTTCCTTTATCACCGTATTCCTGAGATCTCTCCAAATGTCCACTTCCAGATACTACAAAAAGAGTGTTTCAAACCTGCTCTTTGAAAGGGACTGTTCAACACTGTGACTTCAATTGAAACATCCCAATGAAGCTTCTGAGAATGCTGCTGTCTGCTTTGTATAATTAATCCCGTTTCCAACGAAATCCTCAAAGCTATCCAAATATCCTCTTGCAGATATTACAAAAAGAGTGTTTCAAAACTGCTCTATCAAAAGAAAGCTTCAACACTGTTAGTTGAGGGCGCACATCACAAATAAGTTTCTGAGAATGCTGCTGTCTTCTTTTTATATGTAATCCCGTTTCCAACGAAATCCTCAAAGCTAGACAAATATCCACTTGCAGATTCCACAAAAAGAGTGTTTCAAAACTGCTCTATCAAAAGAAAGCTTCAACACTGTTAGTTGATTGCGCACATCACAAATAAGTTTCTGAGAATGCTTCTGTCTAGTTTTCAGGGGAAGATATTTCCTTTTTCACCATAGGCCTGAAAGCGCTCGAAATGTCCACATCCAGATACTACAAAAAGAGTGTTTCAAACCTGCTCTATGAAAGGGACTGTTCAACACTGTGACTTCAATTGAAACATCCCAATGAAGCTTCTGAGAATGCTTCTGCCTAGAGTTTATATGAAGACAATCCCGTTTCCAACGAAATCCTCAAAGCTATCCAAATATCCTCTTGCAGATATTACAAAAAGAGTGTTTCAAAACTGCTCTATCAAAAGAAAGCTTCAACACTGTTAGTTGAGGGCGCACATCACAAATAAGTTTCTGAGAATGCTTCTGTCTAGTTTTCAGGGGAAGATATTTCCTTTTTCACCATAGGCCTGAAAGCGCTGCAAATGTCCACATCCAGATACTACAAAAAGAGTGTTTCAAACCTGCTCTATGAAAGGGAATGTTCAACTCTGTGACTTGAATGCAAACACCACAAAGAAGTTACTGGGAATGCTGCTGTCTGCTTTTTATATGTAATCCCGTTTCCAACGAAATCCTCAAAGCTAGACAAATATCCACTTCCAGATTCCACAAAAAGAGTGTTTCAAAACTGCTGTCTCAAAAGAAAGGTTCAACTCTGTTAGCTGAGTAGATACATCATGAAAAAGTTTCTGACATTGCTTCTATCTAGCTTTTATTGGAAGATATTTCCTTTTTCACCGCAGTCCTGAGAGCGCTCCAAATGTCCACTTCCAGATACTACAAAATGAGTGTTTCAAACCTGCTCTATGAAAGGGACTGTTCAACACTGTGACTTCAATTGAAACATCCCAATGAAGCTTCTGAGAATGCTTATGTCTAGAGTTTATATGAAGACAATCCCGTTTCCAACGAAATCCTGAAAGCTATCCAAATATCCTCTTGCAGATATTACAAAAAGAGTGTTTCAAAACTGCTCTATCAAAAGAAAGCTTCAACACTGTTAGTTGAGGGCGCCCATCACAAATAAGTTTCGGAGAATGCTTAGCTGTCTGCTTTTTATATGTAATCCCGTTTCCAACGAAATCCTCAAAGCTAGACAAATATCCACTTGCAGATTCCACAAAAAGAGTGTTTCAAAACTGCTCTATCAAGAGAAAGCTTCAACACTGTTAGTTGAGGGCGCACATCACAAATAAGTTTCTGAGAATGCTTCTGTCTAGTTTTCAGGGGAAGATATTTCCTTTTAAACCATAGGCCTGAAAGCGCTCCAAATGTCCACATCCAGATACTACAAAAAGAGTGTTTCAAACCTGCTCTATGAAAGGGACTGTTCAACACTGCAACTTCAATTGAAACATCCCAATGAAGCTTCTGAGAATGCTTCTGTCTAGAGTTTATATGAAGACAATCCCGTTTCCAACGAAATCCTCAAAGCTATCCAAATATCCTCTTGCAGATATTACAAAAAGAGTGTTTCAAAACTGCTCTATCAAAAGAAAGCTTCAACACTGTTAGTTGAGGGCGCACATCACAAATAAGTTTCTGAGAATGCTTCTGTCTAGTTTTCAGGGGAAGATATTTCCTTTTTCACCTTAGGCCTGAAAGCGCTGCAAATGTCCACATCCAGATACCACAAAAAGAGTGTTTCAAACCTGCTCTATGAAAGGGAATGTTCAACTCTGTGACTTGAATGCAAACAACACAAAGAAGTTTCTGGGAATGCTGCTGTCTGCTTTTTATATGTAATCCCGTTTCCAACGAAATCCTCAAAGCTAGACAAATATCCACTTGCAGATTCCACAAAAAGAGTGTTTCAAAACTGCTCTCTCAAAAGAAAGGTTCAACTCTGTTAGCTGAGTAGATACATCATGAAAAAGTTTCTGACATTGCTTCTATCTAGCTTTTATTGGAAGATATTTCCTTTATCACCGTATTCCTGAGATCTCTCCAAATGTCCACTTGCAGATACTACAAAAAGAGTGTTTCAAACCTGCTCTATGAAAGGGACTGTTCAACACTGTGACTTCAATTGAAACATCCCAATGAAGCTTCTGAGAATGCTGCTGTCTGCTTTGTATAATTAATCCCGTTTCCAACGAAATCCTCAAAGCTATCCAAATATCCTCTTGCAGATATTACAAAAAGAGTGTTTCAAAACTGCTCTATCAAAAGAAAGCTTCAACACTGTTAGTTGAGGGCGCACATCACAAATAAGTTTCTGAGAATGCTGCTGTCTGCTTTTTATATGTAATCCCGTTTCCAACGAAATCCTCAAATCTAGACAAATATCCACTTGCAGATTCCACAAAAAGAGTGTTTCAAAACTGCTCTATCAAAAGAAAGCTTCAACACTGTTAGTTGAGGGCGCACATCACAAATAAGTTTCTGAGAATGCTTCTGTCTAGTTTTCAGGGGAAGATATTTCCTTTTAAACCATATGCCTGAAAGCGCTCCAAATGTCCACATCCAGATACTACAAAAAGAGTGTTTCAAACCTGCTCTATGAAAGGGACTGTTCAACACTGTGACTTCAATTGAAACATCCCAATGAAGCTTCTGAGAATGCTTCTGCCTAGAGTTTATATGAAGACAATCCCGTTTCCAACGAAATCCTCAAAGCTATCCAAATATCCTCTTGCAGATATTACAAAAAGAGTGTTTCAAAACTGCTCTATCAAAAGAAAGCTTCAACACTGTTAGTTGAGGGCGCACATCACAAATAAGTTTCTGAGAATGCTTCTGTCTAGTTTTCAGGGGAAGATACTTCCTTTTTCACCATAGGCCTGAAAGCGCTCCAAATGTCCACATCCAGATACTACAAAAAGAGTGTTTCAAACCTGCTCTATGAAAGGGAATGTTCAACTCTGTGACTTGAATGCAAACATCACAAAGAAGTTTCTGGGAATGCTGCTGTCTGCATTTTATAGTAATCCCGTTTCCAACGAAATCCTCAAAGCTAGACAAATATCCACTTGCAGATTCCACAAAAAGAGTGTTTCAAAACGGCTCTCTCAAAAGAAAGGTTCAACACTGTTAGCTGAGTAGATACGTCATGAAAAAGTTTCTGACATTGCTTCTATGTAGCTTTTATTGGAAGATATTTAATTTTTCACCATAGTCCTGAGAGCCCTCCAAATGTCCACTTCCAGATACTACAAAAAGTGTGTTTCAAACCTGTTCTATGAAAGGAACTGTTCAACACTGTGACTTCAATTGAAACATCCCAATGAAGCTTCTGAGAATGCTGCTGTCTGCTTTGTATAATTAATCCCGTTTCCAACGAAATCCTCAAAGCTATCCAAATATCCTCTTGCAGATATTACAAAAAGAGTGTTTCAAAACTGCTCTATCAAAAGAAAGCTTCAACACTGTTAGTTGAGGGCGCACATCACAAATAAGTTTCTGAGAATGCTGCTGTCTGCTTTTTATATGTAATCCCGTTTCCAACGAAATCCTCAAAGCTAGAAAAATATCCACTTGCAGATTCCACAAAAAGAGTGTTTCAAAACTGCTCTATCAAAAGAAAGCTTCAACACTGTTAGTTGAGGGCGCACATCACAAATAAGTTTCTGAGAATGCTTCTGTCTAGTTTTCAGGGGAAGATATTTCCTTTTTCACCATAGGCCTGAAAGCGCTCGAAATGTCCACATCCAGATACTACAAAAAGAGTGTTTCAAACCTGCTCTATGAAAGGGACTGTTCAACACTGTGACTTCAATTGAAACATCCCAATGAAGCTTCTGAGAATGCTTCTGTCCAGATTTTATATGAAGACAATCCCGTTTCCAACGAAATCCTCAAAGCTATCCAAATATCCTCTTGCAGATTTTACAAAAAGAGTGTTTCAAAACTGCTCTATCAAAAGAAAGTTTCAACACTGCTAGTTGAGGGCGCACATCACAAATAAGATTCTGAGAATGCTTCTGTCTAGTTTTCAGGGGAAGATATTTCCTTTTTCACCTTAGGCCTGAAAGCGCTGCAAATGTCCACATCCAGATACTACAAAAAGAGTGTTTCAAACCTGCTCTATGAAAGGGAATGTTAAACTCTGTGATTTGAATGCAAACAACACAAAGAAGTTTCTGGGAATGCTGCTGTCTGCTTTTTATATGTAATCCCGTTTCCAACGAAATCATCAAAGCTAGACAAATATCCACTTGCAGATTCCACAAAAAGAGTGTTTCAAAACGGCTCTCTCAAAACAAAGGTTCAACTCTGTTAGCTGAGTAGATACATCATGAAAAAGTTTCTGACATTGCTTCTATCTAGCTTTTATTGGAAGATACTTCCTTTTTCACCGTAGTCCTGAGAGCGCTCCAAATGTCCACTTCCAGATACTACAAAAAGAGTGTTTCAAACCTGCTCTATGAAAGGGACTGTTCAACACTGTGACTTCAATTGAAACATCCCAATGAAGCTTCTGAGAATGCTTCTGTCTAGAGTTTATATGAAGACAATCCCGTTTCCAACGAAATCCTCAAAGCTATCCAAATATCCTCTTGCAGATATTACAAAAAGAGTGTTTCAAAACTGCTCTATCAAAAGAAAGGTTCAACACTGTTAGTTGAGGGCGCACATCACAAATAAGTTTACTGAGAATGCTGCTGTCTGCTTTTTATATGTAATCCCGTTTCCAACGAAATCCTCAAAGCTAGACAAATATCCACTTGCAGATTCCACAAAAAGAGTGTTTCAAAACTGCTCTATCAAAAGAAAGCTTCAACACTGTTAGTTGAGGGCGCACATCACAAATAAGTTTCTGAGAATGCTTCTGTCTAGATTTCAGGAGAAGATATTTCCTTTTTCACCATAGGCCTGAAAGCGCTCTAAATGTCCACATCCAGATACTACAAAAAGAGTGTTTCAAACCTGCTGTATGAAAGGGACTGTTCAACACTGTGACTTCAATTGAAACATCCCAATGAAGCTTCTGAGAATGCTTCTGTCTAGAGTTTATATGAAGACAATCCCGTTTCCAACGAAATCCTCAAAGCTATCCAAATATCCTCTTGCAGATTTTACAAAAAGAGTGTTTAAAAACTGCTCTATCAAAAGAAAGCTTCAACACTGTTAGTTGAGGGCGCACATCACAAATAAGACTCTGAGAATTCTTCTGTCTAGTTTTCAGGGGAAGATATTTCCTTTTTCACCATAGGCCTGAAAGCGCTCCAAATGTCCACATCCAGATACTACAAAAAGAGTGTTTCCAACCTGCTCTATGAAAGGGAATGTTCAACTCTGTGACTTGAATGCAAACATCACAAAGAAGTTACTGGGAATGCTGCTGTCTGCTTTCTATATGTAATCCCGTTTCCAACGAAATCCTCAAAGCTAGACAAATATCCACTTCCAGATTCCACAAAAATAGTGTTTCAAAACTGCTCTCACAAAAGAAAGGTTCAACTCTTTTAGCTGAGTAGATACATCATGAAAAAGTTTCTGACATTGCTTCTATCTAGCTTTTATTGGAAGATACTTCCTTTTTCACCGTAGTCCTGAGAGCGCTCCAAATGTCCACTTCCAGATACTACAAAGAGTGTTTCAAACCTGCTCTATGAAAGGGACTGTTCAACACTGTGACTTCAATTGAAACATCCCAATGAAGCTTCTGAGAATGCTGCTGTCTGCTTTGTATAATTAATCCCGTTTCCAACGAAATCCTCAAAGCTATCCAAATATCCTCTTGCAGATATTACAAAAAGAGTGTTTCAAAACTGCTCTATCAAAAGAAAGCTTCAACACTGTTAGTTGAGGGCGCACATCACAAATAAGTTTCTGAGAATGCTGCTGGCTGCTTTTTATATGTAATCCCGTTTCCAACGAAATCCTCAAAGCTAGACAAATATCCACTTGCAGATTCCACAAAAAGAGTGTTTCAAAACTGCTCTATCAAAAGAAAGCTTCAACACTGTTAGTTGAGGGGGCACATCACAAATAAGTTTCTGAGAATGCTTCTGTCTAGTTTTCAGGGGAAGATATTTCCTTTTAAACCATAGGCCTGAAAGCGCTCCAAATGTCCACATCCAGATACTACAAAAAGAGTGTTTCAAACCTGCTCTATGAAAGAGACTGTTCAACACTGTAACTTCAATTGAAACATCCCAATGAAGCTTCTGAGAATGCTTCTGTCTAGAGTTTATATGAAGACAATCCCGTTTCCAACGAAATCCTCAAAGCTATCCAAATATCCTCTTGCAGATATTACAAAAAGAGTGTTTCAAAACTGCTCTATCAAAAGAAAGCTTCAACACTGTTAGTTGAGGGCGCACATCACAAATAAGTTTCTGAGAATGCTTCTGTCTAGTTTTCAGGGGAAGATATTTCCTTTTTCACCATAGGCCTGCAAGCGCTCCAAATGTCCACATCCAGATACTACAAAAAGAGTGTTTCAAACCTGCTCTATGAAAGGGAATGTTCAAGTCTGTGACTTGAATGCAAACATCACACAGAAGTTTCTGGGAATGCTGCTGTCTGCTTTTTATATGTAATCCCGTTTCCAACGAAATCCTCAAAGCTAGACAAGTATCCACTTGCAGATTCCACAAAAAGAGTGTTTCAAAACTGCTCTCTCAAAAGAAAGGTTCAACTCTGTTAGCTGAGTAGATACATCATGAAAAAGTTTCTGACATTGCTTCTATCTAGCTTTTATTGGAAGATATTTCCTTTTTCACCGTAGTCCTGAGATCTCTCCAAATGTCCACTTCCAGATACTACAAAAAGAGTGTTTCAAACCTGCTCTATGAAAGGGACTGTTCAACACTGTGACTTCAATTGAAACATCCCAATGAAGCTTCTGAGAATGCTTCTGTCTAGAGTTTATATGAAGACAATCCCGTTTCCAACGAAATCCTCAAAGCTATCCAAATATCCTCTTGCAGATATTACAAAAAGAGTGTTTCAAAACTGCTCTATCAAAAGAAAGCTTCATCACTGTTATTTGAGGGCGCACATCACAAATAAGTTTCTGAGAATGCTTCTGTCTAGTTTTCATGGGAAGATATTTCCTTTTTCACCATAGGCCTGAAAGCGCTCCAAATGTCCACATCCAGATACTACAAAAAGAGTGTTTCAAACCTGCTCTATGAAAGGGAATGTTCAACTCTGTGACTTGAATGCAAACATCACAAAGAAGTTTACTGGGAATGCTGCTGTCTGCTTTTTATATGTAATCCCGTTTCCAACGAAATCCTCAATGCTAGACAAATATCCACTTGCAGATTCCACAAAAAGAGTGTTTCAAAACTGCTCTCTCAAAAGAAAGGTTCAACTCTGTTAGCTGAGTAGATACATCATGAAAAAGTTTCTGACATTGCTTCTATGTAGCTTTTATTGGAAGATATTTCCTTTTTCACCATAGTCCTGAGAGCGCTCCAAATGTCCACTTCCAGATACTACAAAAAGAGTGTTTCAAACCTGTTCTATGAAAGGAACTGTTCAACACTGTGACTTCAATTGAAACATCCCAATGAAGCTTCTGAGAATGCTTCTGTCTAGAGTTTATATGAAGACAATCCCGTTTCCAACGAAATCCTCAAAGCTATCCAAATATCCTCTTGCAGATATTACAAAAAGAGTGTTTCAAAACTGCTCTATCAAAAGAAAGGTTCAACACTGTTAGTTGAGGGCGCACATCACAAATAAGTTTACTGAGAATGCTGCTGTCTGCTTTTTATATGTAATCCCGTTTCCAACGAAATCCTCAAAGCTAGACAAACATCCACTTGCAGATTCCACAAAAAGAGTGTTTCAAAACTGCTCTATCAAAAGAAAGCTTCAACACTGTTAGTTGAGGGCGCACATCACAAATAAGTTTCTGAGAATGCTTCTGTCTAGTTTTCAGGGGAAGATATTTCCTTTTTCACCTTAGGCCTGAAATCGCTGAAAATGTCCACATCCAGATACTACAAAAAGAGTGTTTCAAACCTGCTCTATGAAAGGGAATGTTCAACTCTGTGACTTGAATGCAAACATCACAAAGAAGTTTCTGGGAATGCTTCTGTCTAGATTCTGTATGAAGACAATCCCGTTTCCAACGAAATCCTCAAAACTATCCAAATATCCTCTTGCAGATTTTACAAAAAGAGTGTCTCAAAACTGCTCTATCAAAAGAAAGCTTCAACACTGTTAGTTGAGGGCGCACATCACAAATAAGATTCTGAGTATGCTTCTGTCTAGTTTTCAAGGGAAGATATTTCCTTTTTCACCATAGGCCTGAAAGCGCTCCAAATGTCCACATCCAGATACTACAAAAAGAGTGTTTCAAACCTGCTCTATGAAAGGGAATGTTCAAGTCTGTGACTTGAATGCAAATTTCACAAAGAACTTTCTGGGAATGCTGCTGTCTGCTTTTTATATGTAATCCCGTTTCCAACGAAATCCTCAAAGCTAGACAAATATCCCCTTGCAGATTCCACAAAAATATTGTTTCAAAACTGTTCTCTCAAAAGAAAGGTTCAACTCTTTTAGCTGAGTAGATACATCATGAAAAAGTTTCTGATATTGCTTCTATCTAGCTTTTATTGGAAGATATTTCCTTTATCACCGTATTCCTGAGATCTCTCCAAATGTCCACTTCCAGATACTACAAAAAGAGTGTTTCAAACCTGCTCTATGAAAGGGACTGTTCAACACTGTGACTTCAATTGAAACATCCCAATGAAGCTTCTGAGAATGCTTCTGTCTAGAGTTTATATGAAGACAATCCCGTTTCCAAACAAATCCTCAATGCTATCCAAATATCCTCTTGCAGATATTACAAAAAGAGTGTTTCAAAACTGCTCTATCAAAAGAAAGGTTCAACACTGTTAGTTGAGGGCGCACATCACAAATAAGTTTCTGAGAATGCTTCTGTCTAGTTTTCAGGGGAAGATATTTCCTTTTTCACCTTATTCCTGAAAGCGCTGCAAATGTCCACATCCAGATACTACAAAAAGAGTGTTTCAAACCTGCTCTATGAAAGGGAATGTTCAACTCTGTGACTTGAATGCAAACATCACAAAGAAGTTTCTGGGAATGCTTCTGTCTAGTTTTCAGGGGAAGATATTTCCTTTTAAACCATAGGCCTGAAAGCGCTCCAAATGTCCACATCCAGATACTACAAAAAGAGTGTTTCAAACCTGCTGTATGAAAGGGACTGTTCAACACTGTGACTTCAATTGAAACATCCCAATGACGCTTCTGAGAATGCTTCTGTCTAGAGTTTATATGAAGACAATCCCGTTTCCAACGAAATCCTCAAAGCTATCCAAATATCCTCTTGCAGATTTTACAAAAAGAGTGTTTCAAAACTGCTCTATCAAAAGAAAGCTTCAACACTGTTAGTTGAGGGCGCACATCACAAATAAGATTCTGAGAATTCTTCTGCCTAGTTTTCAGGGGAAGATATTTCCTTTTTCACCATAGGCCTGAAAGCGCTCCAAATGTCCACATCCACATACTACAAAAAGAGTGTTTCAAACCTGCTCTATGAAAGGGAATGTTCAACTCTGTGACTTGAATGCAAACATCACAAAGAAGTTTCTGGGAATGCTGCTGTCTGCTTTTTATATGTAATCCCGTTTCCAACGAAATCCTCAAAGCTAGACAAATATCCACTTGCAGATTCCACAAAAAGAGTGTTTCAAAACTGCTCTCTCAAAAGAAAGGTTCAACTCTGTTAGCTGAGTAGATACATCATGAAAAAGTTTCTGACATTGCTTCTATCTAGCTTTTAGTGGAAGATATTTCCTTTATCACCGTATTCCTGAGATCTCTTCAAATGTCCACTTCCAGATACTACAAAAAG
Organism: Homo sapiens; assembly: GCF_000001405.40. Taxonomy (NCBI): domain Eukaryota; kingdom Metazoa; phylum Chordata; class Mammalia; order Primates; family Hominidae; genus Homo; species Homo sapiens. The sequence continues at coordinate 93,773,643 of NC_000002.12, read as the reverse complement.
AGTGTTTCAAACCTGCTCTATGAAAGGGACTGTTCAACACTGTGACTTCAATTGAAACATCCCAATGAAGCTTCTGAGAATGCTGCTGTCTGCTTTGTATAATTAATCCCGTTTCCAACGAAATCCTCAAAGCTATCCAAATATCCTCTTGCAGATATTACAAAAAGAGTGTTTCAAAACTGCTCTATCAAAAGAAAGCTTCAACACTGTTAGTTGAGGGCGCACATCACAAATAAGTTTCTGAGAATGCTGCTGTCTGCTTTTTATATGTAATCCCGTTTCCAACGAAATCCTCAAAGCTAGACAAATATCCACTTGCAGATTCCACAAAAAGAGTGTTTCAAAACTGCTCTATCAAAAGAAAGCTTCAACACTGTTAGTTGAGGGGGCACATCACAAATAAGTTTCTGAGAATGCTTCTGTCTAGTTTTCAGGGGAAGATATTTCCTTTTTCACCATAGGCCTGAAAGCGCTCCAAATGTCCACATCCAGATACTACAAAAAGAGTGTTTCAAACCTGCTCTATGAAAGGGACTGTTCAACACTGTGACTTCAATTGAAACATCCCAATGAAGCTTCTGAGAATGCTTCTGTCTAGAGTTTATATGAAGACAATCCCGTTTCCAACGAAATCCTCAAAGGTAACCAAATGTCCTCTTGCAGATATTACAAAAAGAGTGTTTCAAAACTGCTCTATCAAAAGAAAAGTTCAACACTGTTAGTTGAGGGCGCACATCACAAATAAGTTTCTGAGAATGCTTCTGTCTAGTTTTCAGGGGAAGATATTTCCTTTTTCACCATAGGCCTGAAAGCGCTCCAAATGTCCACATCCAGATACTACAAAAAGAGTGTTTCAAACCTGCTCTATGAAAGGGAATGTTCAACTCTGTGACTTGAATGCAAACATCACAAAGAAGTTTCTGGGAATGCTGCTGTCTGCTTTTTATATGTAATCCCGTTTCCAACGAAATCCTCAAAGCTAGAAAAATATCCACTTGCAGATTCCACAAAACGAGTGTTTCAAAACTGCTCTCTCAAATGAAGGTTCAACTTTGTTAGCTGAGTAGATACATCATGAAAAAGTTTCTGACATTGCTTCTATCTAGCTTTTATTGGAAGATATTTCCTTTATCAACGTATTCCTGAGATCTCTCCAAATGTCCACTTCCAGATACTACAAAAAGAGTGTTTCAAACCTGCTCTATGAAAGGGACTGTTCAACACTGTGACTTCAATTGAAACATCCCAATGAAGCTTCTGAGAATGCTTCTGTCTAGAGTTTATATGAAGACAATCCCGTTTCCAACGAAATCCTCAAAGCTATCCAAATATCCTCTTGCAGATATTACAAAAAGAGTGTTTCAAAACTGCTCTATCAAAAGAAAGGTTCAACACTGTTAGTTGAGGGCGCACATCACAAATAAGTTTACTGAGAATGCTGCTGTCTGCTTTTTATAATTAATCCCGTTTCCAACGAAATCCTCAAAGCTATCCAAATATCCTCTTGCAGATATTACAAAAAGAGTGTTTCAAAACTGCTCTATCAAAAGAAAGGTTCAACACTGTTAGTTGAGGGCGCACATCACAAATAAGTTTCTGAGAATGCTTCTGTCTAGTTTTTATGGGAAGATATTTCCTTTTTCAATATAGCCCTGAAAGCGCTACAAATGTCCACGTCCAGATACTACAAAAAGAGTGTTTCAAACCTACTCCATGAAAGGGACTGTTCAACACTGCGACTTCAATAGAAACATCCCAATGAAGTTTCTGAGAATGCTTCTGTCTAGATTGTATATGAAGACAATCCCGTTTCCAACGAAATCCTCAAAGCTATCCAAATATCCTCTTGCAGATTTTACAAAAAGAGTGTTTCAAAACTGCTCTATCAAAAGAAAGCTTCAACACTGTTAGTTGAGGGCGCACATCACAAATAAGTTTCTGAGAATGCTTCTATCTAGCTTTTATTGGAAGATATTTCCTTTTTCACCATAGGCCTGAAAGCGCTCCAAATGTCCACATCCAGATACTACAAAAAGAGTGTTTCAAACCTGCTCTATGAAAGGGAATGTTCAACTCTGTGACTTGAATGCAAACATCACAAAGAAGTTACTGGGAATGCTGCTGTCTGCTTTTTCTATGTAATCCCGTTTCCAACGAAATCCTCAAAGCTAGACAAATATCCACTTGCAGATTCCACAAAAAGAGTGTTTCAAAACTGCTCTCTCAAAAGAAAGGTTCAACTCTTTTAGCTGAGTAGATACATCATGAAAAAGTTTCTGACATTGCTTCTATCTAGCTTTTATTGGAAGATATTTCCTTTTTCACCGTAGTCCTGAGAACGCTCCAAATGTCCACTTCCAGATGCTACAAAAAAAGTGTTTCAAACCTGCTCTATGAAAGGGACTGTTCAACACTGTGACTTCAATTGAAACATCCCAATGAAGCTTCTGAGAATGCTACTGTCTAGGGTTAATATGAAGACAATCCCGTTTCCAACGAAATCCTCAAAGCTATCCAAATATCCTCTTGCAGATTTTACAAAAAGAATGTTTCAAAACTGCTCTATCAAAAGAAAGCTTCAACACTGTTAGTTGAGGGCGCACATCACAAATAAGTTTCTGAGACTCCTTCTGTCCAGTTTTCAGTGGAAAATATTTCCTTTTTCACCATAGGCCTGAAAGCGCTCCAAATGTCCACATCCAGATACTACAAAAAGAGTGTTTCAAACCTGCTCTATGAAAGGGAATGTTCAACTCTGTGACTTGAATGCAAACATCACAAAGAAGTTTCTGGGAATGCTGCTGTCTGCTTTTTATATGTAATCCCGTTTCCAACGAAATCCTCAAAGCTAGACAAATATCCACTTGCAGATTCCACAAAAAGACTGTTTCAAAACTGCTCTCTCAAAAGAAAGGTTCAACTATGTTAGCTGAGTAGATACATCATGAAAAAGTTTCTGACATTGCTTCTATCTAGCTTTTATTGGAAGATATTTCCTTTATCACCGTATTCCTGAGATCTCTCCAAATGTCCACTTCCAGATACTACAAAAAGAGTGTTTCAAACCTGCTCTATGAAAGGGACTGTTCAACACTGTGACTTCAATTGAAACATCCCAATGACGCTTCTGAGAATGCTTCTGTCTAGTTTTCAGGAGAAGATATTTCCTTTTTCACCATAGGCCTGAAAGCGCTCCAAATGTCCACATCCAGATACTATAAAAAGAGTGTTTCAAACCTGCTCTCTGAAAGGGAATGTTCAACTCTGTGACTCGAATGCAAACATCACAAACAAGATTCTGGGAATGCTGCTGTCTGCTTTTTATATGTAATCCCGTTTCCAACGAAATCCTCAAAGCTAGACAAATATCCACTTGCAGATTCCACAAAAAGAGTGTTTCAAAACTGCTCTATCAAAAGAAAGCTTCAACACTGTTAGTTGAGGGCGCACATCACAAATAAGTTTCTGAGAATGCTTCTGTCTAGTTTTCAGGGGAAGATATTTCCTTTTTCACCATAGGCCTGAAAGCGCTCCAAATGTCCACATCCAGATACTACAAAAAGAGTGTTTCAAACCTGCTCTATGAAAGGGACTGTTCAACACTGTGACTTCAATTGAAACATCCCAATGAAGCTTCTGAGAATGCTTCTGTCTAGAGTTTATATGAAGACCATCCCGTTTCCAACGAAATCCTCAAAGCTATCCAAATATCCTCTTGCAGATATTACAAAAAGAGTGTTTCAAAACTGCTCTATCAAAAGAAAGGTTCAACACTGTTAGTTGAGGGCGCACATCACAAATAAGTTTCTGAGAATGCTTCTGTCTAGTTTTCAGGGGAAGGTATTTCCTTTTTCACCATAGGCCTGAAAGCGCTCCAAATCTCCACATCCAGATACTACAAAAAGACTGTTTCAAACCTGCTCTATGAAAGGGAATGTTCAACTCTGTGACTTGAATGCAAACATCACAAAGAAGTTTCTGGGAATGCTGCTGTCTGCTTTTTATATGTAATCCCGTTTCCAACGAAATCCTCAAAGCTAGACAAATATCCACTTGCAGATTCCACAAAAAGAGTGTTTCAAAACTGCTCTCTCAAAAGAAAGGTTCAACTCTGTTAGCTGAGTAGATACATCATGAAAAAGTTTCTGACATTGCTTCTATCTAGCTTTTATTGGAAGATATTTCCTTTTTCACCGTAGTCCTGAGAGCGCTCCAAATGTCCACTTCCAGATACTACAAAAAGAGTGTTTCAAACCTGCTCTATGAAAGGGACTGTTCAACACTGTGACTTCAGTTGAAACATCCCAATGAAGCTTCTGAGAATGCTTCTTTCTAGAGTTTATATGAAGACAATCCCGTTTCCAACGAAATCCTCAAAGCTATCCAAATATTCTCTTGCAGATATTACAAAAAGAGTGTTTCAAAACTGCTCTATCAAAATAAAGCTTCAACACTGTTAGTTGAGGGCGCACATCACAAATAAGTTTCTGAGAATGCTGCTGTCTGCTTTTTATATGTAATCCCGTTTCCAACGAAATCCTCAAAGCTATCCAAATATCCTCTTGCAGATATTACAAAAAGAGTGTTTCAAAACTGCTCTATCAAAAGAAAGGTTCAACACTGTTAGTTGAGGGCGCACATCACAAATAAGTTTCTGAGAATGCTTCTGTCTAGTTTTCAGAGGAAGATATTTCCTTTTTCACCATAGGCCTGAAAGCGCTCCAAATGTCCACATCCAGATACTACAAAAAGAGTGTTTCAAACCTGCTCTATGAAAGGGACTGTTCAACACTGTGACTTCAATTGAAACATCCCAATGAGGCTTCTGAGAATGCTTCTGTCTAGAGTTTATATGAAGACAATCCCGTTTCCAACGAAATCCTCAAAGCTATCCAAATATCCTCTTGCAGATATTACAAAAAGAGTGTTTCAAAAGTGCTCTATCAAAAGAAAGCTTCAACACTGTTAGTTGAGGGCGCACATCACAAATAAGTTTCTGAGAATGCTTCTGTCTAGTTTTCAGGGGAAGATATTTCCTTTTTCACCATAGGCCTGGAAGCGCTCCAAATGTCCACATCCAGATACTACAAAAAGAGTGTTTCAAACCTGCTCTATGAAAGGGAATGTTCAAGTCTGTGACTTGAATGCAAATTTCACAAAGAACTTTCTGGGAATGCTGCTGTCTGCTTTTTATAATTAATCCCGTTTCCAACGAAATCCTCAAATCTAGACAAATATCCACTTGCAGATTCCACAAAAAGAGTGTTTCAAAACTGCTCTATCAAAAGAATGCTTCAACACTGTTAGCTGAGTAGATACATCATGAAAAAGTTTCTGACATTGCTTCTATGTAGCTTTTATTGGAAGATATTTCCTTTTTCACCGCAGTCCTGAGAGCGCTCCAAATGTCCACTTCCAGATACTACAAAAAGAGTGTTTCAAACCTGCTCTATGAAAGAGACTGTTCAACACTGTGACTTCAATTGAAACATCCCAATGAAGCTTCTGAGAATGCTTCTTTCTAGAGTTTATATGAAGACAATCCCGTTTCCAACGAAATCCTCAAAGCTATCCAAATATTCTCTTGCAGATATTACAAAAAGAGTGTTTCAAAACTGCTCTATCAAAATAAAGCTTCAACACTGTTAGTTGAGGGCGCACATCACAAATAAGTTTCTGAGAATGCTGCTGTCTGCTTTTTATATGTAATCCGGTTTCCAACGAAATCCTCAAAGCTAGACAAACATCCACTTGCAGATTCCACAAAAAGAGTGTTTCAAAACTGCTCTATCAAAAGAAAGGTTCAACATTGTTAGTTGAGGGCGCACATCACAAATAAGTTTCTGAGAATGCTTCTGTCCAGTTTTCAGGGGAAGATATTTCCTTTTAAACCATAGGCCTGAAAGCACTCCAAATCTCCACATCCAGATACTACAAAAAGAGTGTTTCAAACCTGCTCTATGAAAGGGACTGTTCAACACTGTGACTTCAATTGAAACATCCCAATGAAGCTTCTGAGAATGCTTCTGTCTAGAGTTTATATGAAGACAATCCCGTTTCCAACGAAATCCTCAAAGCTATCCAAATATCCTCTTGCAGATATTACAAAAAGAGTGTTTCAAAACTGCTCTATCAAAAGAAAGCTTCAACACTGTTAGTTGAGGGCGCACATCACAAATAAGTTTCTGAGAATGCTTCTGTCTAGTTTTCAGGGGAAGATATTTCCTTTTTCACCATAGGCCTGAAAGCGCTCCAAATGTCCACATCCAGATACTACAAAAAGAGTGTTTCAAACCTGCTCTATGAAAGGGAATGTTCAACTCTGTGACTTGAATGCAAACATCACAAAGGAGTTTCTGGGAATGCTGCTGTCTGCTTTTTATATGTAATCCCGTTTCCAACGAAATCCTCAAAGCTAGGCAAATATCCCCTTGCAGATTCCACAAAAAGAGTGTTTCAAAACTGCTCTCTCAAAGGAAGGTTCAACTCTGTTAGCTGAGTAGATACATCATGAAAAAGTTTCTGACATTGCTTCTATCTAGCTTTTATTGGAAGATATTTCCTTTTTCACCGCAGTCCTGAGAGCGCTCCAAATGTCCACTTACAGATACTACAAAAAGAGTGTTTCAAACCTGCTCTATGAAAGGGACTGTTCAACACTGTGACTTCAATTGAAACATCCCAATGAAGCTTCTGAGAATGCTGCTGTCTGCTTTGTATAATTAATCCCGTTTCCAACGAAATCCTCAAAGCTATCCAAATATCCTCTTGCAGATATTACAAAAAGAGTGTTTCAAAACTGCTCTATCAAAAGAAAGCTTCAACACTGTTAGTTGAGGGCGCACATCACAAATAAGTTTCTGAGAATGCTGCTGTCTGCTTTTTATATGTAATCCCGTTTCCAACGAAATCCTCAAATTTAGACAAATATCCACTTCCAGATTCCACAAAAAGAGTGTTTCAAAACTGCTCTATCAAAAGAATGCTTCAGCACTGTTAGTTGAGGGCGCACATCACAAATAAGTTTCTGAGAATGCTTCTGTCTAGTTTTCAGGGGAAGATATTTCCTTTTTCACCATAGGCCTGAAAGCGCTCCAAATGTCCACATCCAGATACTACAAAAAGAGTGTTTCAAACCTGCTCTATGAAAGGGACTGTTCAACACTGTGACTTCAATTGAAACATCCCAATGAAGCTTCTGAGAATGCTTCTGTCTAGAGTTTATATGAAGACAATCCCGTTTCCAACGAAATCCTCAAAGCTATCCAAATATCCTCTTGCAGATATTACAAAAAGAGTGTTTCAAAACTGCTCTATCAAAAGAAAGGTTCAACACTGTTAGTTGAGGGCGCACATCACAAATAAGTTTCTGAGAATGCTTCTATCTAGCTTTTATTGGAAGATATTTCCTTTTTCACCATAGGCCTGAAAGCGCTCCAAATGTCCACATCCAGATACTACAAAAAAAGTGTTTCAAACCTGCTCTATGAAAGGGAATGTTCAACTCTGTGACTTGAATGCAAACATCACGAAGAAGTTACTGGGAATGCTGCTGTCTGCTTTTTATATGTAATCCCGTTTCCAACGAAATCCTCAAAGCTAGACAAATATCCACTTGCAGATTCCACAAAACGAGTGTTTCAAAACTGCTCTCTCAAAAGAAAGGTTCAACTCTGTTAGCTGAGTAGATACATCATGAAAAAGTTTCTGACATTGCTTCTATGTAGCTTTTATTGGAAGATATTTCCTTTTTCACCATAGTCCTGAGAGCGCTCCAAATGTCCACTTCCAGATACTACAAAAAGAGTGTTTCAAACCTGTTCTATGAAAGGAACTGTTCAACACTGTGATTTCAATTGAAACATCCCAATGAAGCTTCTGAGAATGCTGCTGTCTGCTTTGTATAATTAATCCCGTTTCCAACGAAATCCTCAAAGCTATCCAAATATCCTCTTGCAGATATTACAAAAAGAGTGTTTCAAAACTGCTCTATCAAAAGAAAGCTTCAACACTGTTAGTTGAGGGCGCACATCACAAATAAGTTTCTGAGAATGCTGCTGTCTGCTTTTTATATGTAATCCCGTTTCCAACGAAATCCTCAAAGCTAGACAAATATCCACTTGCAGATTCCACAAAAAGAGTGTTTCAAAACTGCTCTATCAAAAGAATGCTTCAACACTGTTAGTTGAGGGCGCACATCACAAATAAGTTTCTGAGAATGCTTCTGTCTAGTTTTCAGGGGAAGATATTTCCTTTTTCACCATAGGCCTGAAAGCGCTCCAAATGTCCACATCCAGATACTACAAAAAGAGTGTTTCAAACCTGCTCTATGAAAGGGACTGTTCAACACTGTGACTTCAATTGAAACATCCCAATGAAGCTTCTGAGAATGCTTCTGTCTAGAGTTTATATGAAGACAATCCCGTTTCCAACGAAATCCTCAAAGCTATCCAAATATCCTCTTGCAGATTTTACAAAAAGAGTGTTTCAAAACTGCTCTATCAAAAGAAAGCTTCAACACTGTTAGTTGAGGGCGCACATCACAAATAAGTTTCTGAGAATGCTTCTATGTAGCTTTTAGTGGAAGATATTTCCTTTTTCACCATAGTCCTGAGAGCGCTCCAAATGTCCACTTCCAGATACTACAAAAAGAGTGTTTCAAACCTGTTCTATGAAAGGAAATGTTCAACTCTGTGACTTGAATGCAAACATCACAAAGAAGTTTCTGGGAATGCTGCTGTCTGCTTTTTATATGTAATCCCGTTTCCAACGAAATCCTCAAAGCTAGACAAATATCCACTTGCAGATTCCACCAAAAGAGTGTTTCAAAACTGCTCTCTCAAAAGAAAGGTTCAACTCTGTTAGCTGAGTAGATACATCATGAAAAAGTTTCTGACATTGCTTCTATCTAGCTTTATTTGGAAGATATTTCCTTTTTCACCGTAGTCCTGAGAACGCTCCAAATGTCCACTTCCAGATACTACAAAAAGAGTGTTTCAAACATGCTCTATGTAAGGGACTGTTCAACACTGTGACTTCAATTGAAACATCCCAATGAAGCTTCTCAGAATGCTTCTGTCTAGAGTTTATATGAAGACAATCCCGTTTCCAACGAAATCCTCAAAGCTATCCAAATATCCTCTTGCAGATATTACAAAAAGAGTGTTTCAAAACTGCTCTATCAAAAGAAAGGTTCAACACTGTTAGTTGAGGGCGCACATCACAAATAAGTTTACTGAGAATGCTGCTGTCTGCTTTTTATATGTAATCCCGTTTCCAACGAAATCCTCAAAGCTAGACAAATATCCACTTGCAGATTCCACAAAAAGAGTGTTTCAAAACTGCTCTATCAAAAGAATGCTTCAACACTGTTAGTTGAAGGCGCACATCACAAATAAGTTTCTGAGAATGCTTCTGTCTAGTTTTCAGGGGAAGATATTTCCTTTTAAACCATAGGCCTGAAAGCGCTCCAAATGTCCACATCCAGATACTACAAAAAGAGTGTTTCAAACCTGCTCTATGAAAGGGACTGTTCAACACTGTGACTTCAATTGAAACATCCCAATGACGCTTCTGAGAATGCTTCTGTCTAGAGTTTATATGAAGACAATCCCGTTTCCAACGAAATCCTCAAAGCTATCCAAATATCCTCTTGCAGATATTACAAAAAGAGTGTTTCAAAACTGCTCTATCAAAAGAAAGCTTCAACACTGTTAGTTGAGGGCGCACATCACAAATAAGTTTCTGAGAATGCTTCTGTCTAGTTTTCAGGAGAAGATATTTCCTTTTTCACCATAGGCCTGAAAGCGCTCCAAATGTCCACATCCAGATACTATAAAAAGAGTGTTTCAAACCTGCTCTCTGAAAGGGAATGTTCAACTCTGTGACTTGAATGCAAACATCACAAACAAGATTACTGGGAATGCTGCTGTCTGCTTTTTATATGTAATCCCGTTTCCAACGAAATCCTCAAAGCTAGACAAATATCCACTTTCAGATTACACAAAAAGAGTGTTTCAAAACTGCTCTCTCAAAAGAAAGGTTCAACTCTGTTAGCTGAGTAGATACATCATGAAAAAGTTTCTGACATTGCTTCTATCTAGCTTTTATTGGAAGATATTTCCTTTTTCACCGCAGTCCTGAGAGCGCTCCAAATGTCCACTTCCAGATACTACAAAAAGAGTGTTTCAAACCTGCTCTATGAAAGGGACTGTTCAACACTGTGACTTCAATTGAAACATCCCAATGAAGCTTCTGAGAATGCTTCTTTCTAGAGTTTATATGAAGACAATCCCGTTTCCAACGAAATCCTCAAAGCTATCCAAATATTCTCTTGCAGATATTACAAAAAGAGTGTTTCAAAACTGCTCTATCAAAATAAAGCTTCAACACTGTTAGTTGAGGGCGCACATCACAAATAAGTTTCTGAGAATGCTGCTGTCTGCTTTTTATATGTAATCCCGTTTCCAACGAAGTCCTCAAAGCTAGACAAATATCCACTTGCAGATTCCACAAAAAGAGTGTTTCAAAACTGCTCTATCAAAAGAAAGCTTCAACACTGTTAGTTGAGGGCGCACATCACAAATAAGTTTCTGAGAATGCTTCTGTCTAGTTTTCAGGGGAAGATATTTCCTTTTAAACCATAGGCCTGAAAGCGCTCCAAATGTCCACATCCAGATACTACAAAAAGAGTGTTTCAAACCTGCTCTATGAAAGGGACTGTTCAACACTGTGACTTCAATTGAAACATCCCAATGAAGCTTCTGAGAATGCTTCTGTCTAGAGTTTATATGAAGACAATCCCGTTTCCAACGAAATCCTCAAATCTATCCAAATATCCTCTTGCAGATTTTACAAAAAGAGTGTTTCAAAACTGCTCTATCAAAAGAAAGCTTCAACACTGTTAGTTGAGGGCGCACATCACAAATAAGATTCTGAGAATGCTCTGTCTAGTTTTCAGGGGAAGATATTTCCTTTTTCACCATAGACCTGAAAGCGCTCCAAATGTCCACATACAGATACTACAAAAAGAGTGTTTCAAACCTGCTCTATGAAAGGGAATGTTCAACTCTGTGACTTTAATGCAAACATCACAAAGAAGTTTCTGGGAATGCTGGCTGTCTGCTTTTTATATGTAATCCCGTTTCCAACGAAATCCTCAAAGCTAGACCAATATCCACTTGCAGATTCCACAAAAAGAGTGTTTCAAAACTGCTGTCTCAAAAGAAAGGTTCAACTCTGTTAGCTGAGTAGATAGATCATGAAAAAGTTTCTGACATTGCTTCTATCTAGCTTTTATTGGAAGATATTTCCTTTTTCACCGTAGTCCTGAGAGCGCTCCAAATGTCCAATTCCAGATACTACAAAAAGAGTGTTTCAAACCTGCTCTATGAAAGGGACTGTTCAACACTGTGACTTCAATTGAAACATCCCAATGAAGCTTCTGAGAATGCTTCTGTCTAGATTCTATATGAAGACAATCCCGTTTCCAACGAAATCCTCAAAGCTATCCAAATATCCTCTTGCAGATTTTACAAAAAGAGTGTTTCAAAACTGCTCTATCAAAAGAAAAGTTCCACACTGTTAGTTGAGGGCGCACATCACAAATAAGTTTGCTGAGAATGCTGCTGTCTGCTTTTTATATGTAATCCCGTTAACAGCGAAATCCTCAAAGCTAGACAAATATCCACTTGCAGATTCCACAAAAAGAGTGTTTCAAAACTGCTCTATCAAAAGAATGCTTCAACACTGTTAGTTGAGGGCGCACATCACAAATAAGTTTCTGAGAATGCTTCTGTCTAGTTTTCAGGGGAAGATATTTCCTTTTTCACCATAGGCCTGAAAGCGCTCCAAATGTCCACATCCAGATACTACAAAAAGAGTGTTTCAAACCTGCTCTATGAAAGGGACTGTTCAACACTGTGACTTCAATTGAAACATCCCAATGAAGCATCTGAGAATGCTTCTGTCTAGAGTTTATATGAAGACAATCCCGTTTCCAACGAAATCCTCAAAGCTATCCAAATATCCTCTTGCAGATATTACAAAAAGAGTGTTTCAAAACTGCTCTATCAAAAGAAAGGTTCAACAGTGTTAGTTGAGGGCGCACATCACAAATAAGTTTCTGAGAATGCTTCTGTCTAGTTTTCAGGGGAAGATATTTCCTTTTTCACCATAGGCCTGAAAGCGCTCCAAATGTCCACATCCAGATACTACAAAAAGAGTGTTTCAAACCTGCTCTATGAAAGGGAATGTTCAACTCTGTGACTTGAATGCAAACGTCACAAAGAAGTTTCTGGGAATGCTGCTGTCTGCTTTTTATATGTAATCCCGTTTCCAACGAAATCCTCAAAGCTAGACAAATATCCACTTGCAGATTCCACAAAAAGAGTGTTTCAAAACTGCTCTCTCAAAAGAAAGGTTCAACTCTGTTAGCTGAGTAGATACATCATGAAAAATTTTCTGACATTGCTTCTATCTAGCTTTTATTGGAAGATATTTCCTTTATCACCGTATTCCTGAGATCTCTCCAAATGTCCACTTCCAGATACTACAAAAAGAGTGTTTCAAACCTGCTCTATGAAAGGGACTGTTCAACACTGTGACTTCAATTGAAACATCCCAATGAAGCTTCTGAGAATGCTTCTGTCTAGAGTTTATATGAAGACAATCCCGTTTCCAACGAAATCCTCAAAGCTATCAAAACATCCTCTTGCAGATTTTACGAAAAGAGTGTTTCAAAACTGCTCTATCAAAAGAAAGCTTCAACACTGTTAGTTGAGGGCGCACATCACAAATAAGATTCTGAGAATGCTGCTGTCTGCTTTTTATATGTAATCCCGTTTCCAACGAAATACTCAAAGCTAGACAAATATCCACTTCCAGATTCCACAAAAAGAGTGTTTCAAAACTGCTCTATCAAAAGAAAGCTTCAACACTGTTAGTTGAGGGCGCACATCACAAATAAGTTTCTGAGAATGCTTCTGTCTAGTTTTCAGGGGAAGATATTTCCTTTTAAACCATAGGCCTGAAAGCGCTCCAAATGTCCACATCCAGATACTACAAAAAGAGTGTTTCAAACCTGCTCTATGAAAGGGACTGTTCAACACTGTGACTTCAATTGAAACATCCCAATGAAGCTTCTGAGAATGCTTCTGTCTAGAGTTTATATGAAGACAATCCCGTTTCCAACGAAATCCTCAAAGCTATCCAAATATCCTCTTGCAGATTTTACAAAAAGAGTGTTTCAAAACTGCTCTATCAAAAGAAAGCTTCAACACTGTTAGTTGAGGGCGCACATCACAAATAAGATTCTGAGAATGCTTCTGTCTAGTTTTCAGGAGAAGATATTTCCTTTTTCACCATAGGCCTGAAAGCGCTCCAAATATCCACATCCAGATACTATAAAAAGAGTGTTTCAAACCTGCTATATGAAAGGGAATGTTCAACTCTGTGACTTGAATGCAAACATCACAAACAAGATTCTGGGAATCCTGCTGTCTGCTTTCAATATGTAATCCCGTTTCCAACGAAATCCTCAAACTAGACAAATATCCACTTGCAGATTCCACAAAAAGAGTGTTTCAAAACTGCTCTCTCAAAAGAAAGGTTCAACTCTGTTAGCTGAGTAGATACATCATGAAAAATTTTCTGACATTGCTTCTATCTAGCTTTTATTGGAACATATTTCCTTTCTCACCGTAGTCCTGAGAGCGCTCCAAATGTCCACTTCCAGATACTACAAAAAGAGTGTTTCAAACCTGCTCTATGAAAGGGACTGTTCAACACTGTGACTTCAGTAGAATCATCCCAATGAAGCTTCTGAGAATGCTACTGTCTAGAGTTTGTATGAAGACAATCCCGTTTCCAACGAAATCCTCAAAGCTATCCAAATATCCTCTTGCAGATTTTACAAAAAGAGTGTTTCAAAACTGCTCTATCAAAAGAAAGGTTCAACACTGTTAGTTGAGGGCGTACATCACAAATAAGATTCTGAGAATGCTGCTGTCTGCTTTTTATAATTAATCCCGTTTCCAACGAAATCCTCAAAGCTATCCAAATATCCTCTTGCAGATATTACAAAAAGAGTGTTTCAAAACTGCTCTATCAAAAGAAAGCTTCAACACTGTTAGTTGAGGGCGCACATCACAAATAAGTTTCTGAGAATGCTTCTGTCTAGTTTTCAGGGGAAGATATTTCCTTTTAAACCGTAGGCCTGAAAGCGCTCCAAATGTCCACATCCAGATACTACAAAAAGAGTGTTTCAAACCTGCTCTATGAAAGGGACTGTTCAACACTGTGACTTCAATTGAAACATCCCAATGAAGCTTCTGAGAATGCTTCTGTCTAGAGTTTATATGAAGACAATCCCGTTTCCAAAGAAATCCTCAAAGCTATCCAAATATCCTCTTGCAGATATTACAAAAAGAGTGTTTCAAATCTGCTCTATCAAAAGAAAGGTTCAACACTGTTAGTTGAGGGCGCACATCACAAATAAGTTTCTGAGAATGCTTCTGTCTAGATTTCAGGAGAAGATATTTCCTTTTTCACCATAGGCCTGAAAGCGCTCCAAATGTCCACATCCAGATACTATAAAAAGAGTGTTTCAAACCTGCTCTCTGAAAGGGAATATTCAACTACTGTGACTTGAATGCAAACATCACAAACAAGATTGCTGGGAATGCTGCTGTCTGCTTTTTATATGTAATCCCGTTTCCAACGCAATCCTCAAAGCTAGACAAATATCCACTTGCAGATTCCACAAAAAGAGTGTTTCAAAACTGCTCTCTCAAAGGAAGGTTCAACTCTGTTAGCTGAGTAGATACATCATGAAAAAGTTTCTGACATTGCTTCTATCTAGCTTTTATTGGAAGATATTTCCTTTTTCACCGCAGTCCTGAGAGCGCTCCAAATGTCCACTTCCAGATACTACAAAAAGAGTGTTTCAAACCTGCTCTATGAAAGGGACTGTTCAACACTGTGACTTCAACTGAAACATCCCAATGAAGCTTCTGAGAATGCTTTTGTCTGGAGTTTATATGAAGACAATCCCGTTTCCAACGAAATCCTCAAAGCTATCCAAATATCCTCTTGCAGATTTTACAAAAAGAGTGTTTCAAAACTGCTCTATCAAAAGAAAGCTTCAACACTGTTAGTTGAGGGCGCACATCACAAATAAGATTCTGAGAATGCTTCTGTCTAGTTTTCTGGGGAAGATATTTCCTTTTTCACCATAGGCCTGAAAGCGCTGCAAATGTCCACATCCAGATACTACAAAAAGAGTGTTTCAAACCTGCTCTCTGAAAGGGAATGTTCAACTCTGTGACTTGAATGCAAACATCACAAAGAAGTTACTGGGAATGCTGCTGTCTGCTTTTTATATGTAATCCCGTTTCCAACGAAATCCTCAAAGCTAGACAAATATCCACTTGCAGATTCCACAAAACGAGTGTTTCAAAACTGCTCTCTCAAAGGAAGGTTCAACTCTGTTAGCTGAGTAGATACATCATGAAAAAGTTTCTGACATTGCTTCTATCTAGCTTTTATTGGAAGATATTTCCTTTATCACCGTATTCCTGAGATCTCTCCAAATGTCCACTTCCAGATACTACAAAAAGAGTGTTTCAAACCTGTTCTATGAAAGGGACTGTTCAACACTGTGACTTCAATTGAAACATCCCAATGAAGCTTCTGAGAATGCTGCTGTCTGCTTTGTATAATTAATCCCGTTTCCAACGAAATCCTCAAAGCTATCCAAATATCCTCTTGCAGATATTACAAAAAGAGTGTTTCAAAACTGCTCTATCAAAAGAAAGCTTCAACACTGTTAGTTGAGGGCGCACATCACAAATAAGTTTCTGAGAATGCTGCTGTCTGCTTTTTATATGTAATCCCGTTTCCAACGAAATCCTCAAAGCTAGACAAACATCCACTTGCAGATTCCACAAAAAGAGTGTTTCAAAACTGCTCTATCAAAAGAATGCTTCAACACTGTTAGTTGAGGGCGCACATCACAAATAAGTTTCTGAGAATGCTTCTGTCTAGTTTTCAGGGGAAGATATTTCCTTTTTCACCATAGGCCTGAAAGCGCTCCAAATGTCCACATCCAGATACTACAAAAAGAGTGTTTCAAACCTGCTCTATGAAAGGGACTGTTCAACACTGTGACTTCAATTGAAACATCCCAATGAAGCTTCTGAGAATGCTTCTGTCTAGAGTTTATATGAAGACAATCCCGTTTCCAACGAAATCCTCAAAGCTATCCAAATATCCTCTTGCAGATATTACAAAAAGAGTGTTTCAAAACTGCTCGATCAAAAGAAAGGTTCAACACTGTTAGTTGAGGGCGCACATCACAAATAAGTTTCTGAGAATGCTTCTGTCTAGTTTTCAGGAGAAGATATTTCCTTTTTCACCATAGGCCTGAAAGCGCTCCAAATGTCCACATCCAGATACTACAAAAAGAGTGTTTCAAACCTGCTCTATGAAAGGGAATGTTCAACTCTGTGACTTGAATGCAAACATCAAAAAGAAGTTTCTGGGAATGCTGCTGTCTGCTTTTTATATGTAATCCCGTTTCCAACGCAATCCTCAAAGCTAGACAAATATCCACTTGCAGATTCCACAAAAAGAGTGTTTCAAAACTGCTCTCTCAAAAGAAAGGTTCAACTCTTTTAGCTGAGTAGATACATCATGAAAAAGTTTCTGACATTGCTTCTATCTAGCTTTTATTGGAAGATATTTCCTTTTTCACCGTAGTCCTGAGAACGCTCCAAATGTCCACTTCCAGATGCTACAAAAAGAGTGTTTCAAACCTGCTCTATGAAAGGGACTGTTCAACACTGTGACGTCAATTGAAACATCCCAATGAAGCTTCTGAGAATGCTTATGTCTAGAGTTTATATGAAGACAATCCCGTTTCCAACGAAATCCTGAAAGCTATCCAAATATCCTCTTGCAGATATTACAAAAAGAGTGTTTCAAAACTGCTCTATCAAAAGAAAGCTTCAACACTGTTAGTTGAGGGCGCCCATCACAAATAAGTTTCGGAGAATGCTTAGCTGTCTGCTTTTTATAATTAATCCCGTTTCCAACGAAATCCTCAAAGCTAGACAAATATCCACTTGCAGATTCCACAAAAAGAGTGTTTCAAAACTGCTCTATCAAAAGAATGCTTCAACACTCTTAGTTGAGGGCGCACATCACAAATAAGTTTCTGAGAATGCTTCTGTCTAGTTTTCAGGGGAAGATATTTCCTTTTTCACCATAGGCCTGAAAGCGCTCCAAATGTCCACATCCAGATACTACAAAAAGAGTGTTTCAAACCTGCTCTATGAAAGGGACTGTTCAACACTGTGACTTCAATTGAAACATCCCAATGAAGCTTCTGAGAATGCTTCTGTCTAGAGTTTATATGAAGACAATCCCGTTTCCAACGAAATCCTCAAAGCTATGCAAATATCCTCTTGCAGATTTTACAAAAAGAGTGTTTCAAAACTGCTCTATCAAAAGAAAGCTTCAACACTGTTAGTTGAGGGCGCACATCACAAATAAGATTCTGAGAATGCTTCTGTCTAGTTTTCATGGGAAGATATTTCCTTTTTCACCTTAGGCCTGAAAGCGCTCCAAATGTCCACATCCAGATACTACAAAAAGAGTGTTTCAAACCTGCTCTATGAAAGGGAATTTTCAACTCTGTGACTTGAATGGAAACATCACAAAGAAGTTTCTGGGAATGCTGCTGTCTGCTTTTTATATGTAATCCCGTTTCCAACGAAATCCTCAAAGCTAGACAAATATCCACTTGCAGATTCCACAAAAAGAGTGTTTCAAAACTGCTCTCTCAAAGGAAGGTTCAACTCTGTTAGCTGAGTAGATACATCATGAAAAAGTTTCTGACATTGCTTCTATCTAGCTTTTATTGGAAGATATTTCCTTTTTCACCGTAGTCCTGAGATCTCTCCAAATGTCCACTTCCAGATACTACAAAAAGAGTGTTTCAAACCTGCTCTATGAAAGGGACTGTTCAACACTGTGACTTCAATTGAAACATCCCAATGAAGCTTCTGAGAATGCTGCTGTCTGCTTTGTATAATTAATCCCGTTTCCAACGAAATCCTCAAAGCTATCCAAATATCCTCTTGCAGATATTACAAAAAGAGTGTTTCAAAACTGCTCTATCAAAAGAAAGCTTCAACACTGTTAGTTGAGGGCGCACATCACAAATAAGTTTCTGAGAATGCTGCTGTCTGCTTTTTATATGTAATCCCGTTTCCAACGAAATCCTCAAAGCTAGACAAATATCCACTTGCAGATTCCACAAAAAGAGTTTTTCAAAACTGCTCTATCAAAAGAAAGCTTCAACACTGTTAGTTGAGGGCGCACATCACAAATAAGTTTCTGAGAATGCTTCTGTCTAGTTTTCAGGGGAAGATATTTCCTTTTTCACCTTAGGCCTGAAAGCGCTGTAAATGTCCACATCCAGATACTACAAAAAGAGTGTTTCAAACCTGCTCTATGAAAGGGAATGTTCAACTCTGTGACTTGAATGCAAACATCACAAAGAAGTTTACTGGGAATGCCTCTGTCTAGAGTTTATATGAAGACAATCCCGTTTCCAAAGAAATCCTCAAAGCTATCCAAATATCCTCTTGCAGATTTTACAAAAAGAGTGTTTCAAAACTGCTCTATCAAAAGAAAGCTTCAACACTGTTAGTTGAGGGCGCACATCACAAATAAGATTCTGAGAATGCTTCTGTCTAGTTTTCAGGGGAACATATTTCCTTTTTCACCATAGGCCTGAAAGCGATCCAAATGTCCACATCCAGATACTACAAAAAGAGTGTTTCAAACCTGCTCTATGAAAGGGAATGTTCAACTCTGTGACTTGAATGCAAACATCACAAAGAAGTTTACTGGGAATGCTGCTGTCTGCTTTTCATATGTAATACGGTTTCCAACGAAATCCTCAAACCTAGACAAATATCCACTTGCAGATTCCACAAAAAGAGTGTTTCAAAACTTCTCTCTCAAAAGAAAGGTTAAATTCTGTTAGCTGAGTAGATACATAATGAAAAATTTTCTGACATTGCTTCTATCTAGCTTTATTTGGAAGATATTTCCTTTTTCACCGTAGTCCTGAAAAAGCTCCAAATGTCAACTTCCAGATACTACAAAAAGAGTGTTTCAAACATGCTCTATGAAAGGGACTGTTCAACACTGTGACTTCAACTGAAACATCCCAATGAAGCTTCTGAGAATGCTTCTGTCTAGAGTTTATATGAAGACAATCCCGTTTCCAACAAAATCCTCAAAGCTATCCAAATATCCTCTTGCAGATTTTACAAAAAGAGTGTTTCAAAACTACTCCATCAAAAGAAAGGTTTAACACTGTTAGTTGAGGGCGCACATCACAAATAAGTTTCTGAGAATGCTGCTGTCTGCTTTTTATATGTAATCCCGTTTCCAACGAAATCCTCAAAGCTAGACAAATATCCACTTGCAGATTCCACAAAAAGAGTGTTTCAAAACTGCTCTATCAAAAGAAAGCTTCAACACTGTTAGTTGAGGGCGCACATCACAAATAAGTTTCTGAGAATGCTTCTGTCTAGTTTTCAGGGGAAGATATTTCCTTTTAAACCATAGGCCTGAAAGCGCTCCAAATGTCCACATCCAGATACTACAAAAAGAGTGTTTCAAACCTGCTCTATGAAAGGGACTGTTCAACACTGTGACTTCAATTGAAACATCCCAATGAAGCTTCTGAGAATGCTTCTGTCTAGAGTTTATATGAAGACAATCCCGTTTCCAACGAAATCCTCAAAGCTATCCAAATATACTCTTGCAGATATTACAAAAAGAGTGTTTCAAAACTGCTCTATCAAAAGAAAGGTTCAACACTGTTAGTTGAGGGAGTACATCACAAATAAGTTTCTGAGAATGCTCTGTCTAGTTTTCAGGGGAAGATATTTCCTTTTTCACCATAGGCCTGAAAGCGCTCCAAATGTCCACAACCAGATACTTCAAAAAGAGTGTTTCAAACCTGCTCTATGAAAGGGAATGTTCAACTACTGTGACTTGAATGCAAACATCACAAAGAAGTTACTGGGAATGCTGGCTGTCTGCTTTTTATATGTAATCCCGTTTCCAACGAAATCCTCAAAGCTAGACAAATATCCACTTGCAGATTCCACAAAAAGAGTGTTTCAAAACTGCTCTCTCAAAAGAAAGGTTCAACTCTTTTAGCTGAGTAGATACATCATGAAGAAGTTTCTGACATTGCTTCTATCTAGCTTTTATTGGAAGATATTTCCTTTTTCACCGTAGTCCTGAGAACGCTCCAAATGTCCACTTCCAGATGCTACAAAAAGAGTGTTTCAAACCTGCTCTATGAAAGGGACTGTTCAACACTGTGACTTCAATTGAAACATCCCAATGAAGCTTCTGAGAATGCTACTGTCTAGGGTTAATATGAAGACAATCCCGTTTCCAAAGAAATCCTCAAAGCTATCCAAATATCCTCTTGCAGATTTTACAAAAAGAATGTTTCAAAACTGCTCTATCAAAAGAAAGCTTCAACACTGTTAGTTGAGGGCGCACATCACAAATAAGTTTCTGAGACTACTTCTGTCTAGTTTTCAGTGGAAGATATTTCCTTTTTCACCATAGGCCTGAAAGCGCTCCTAATGTCCAAATCCAGATACTACAAAAAGAGTGTTTCAAACCTGCTCTATGAAAGGGAATGTTCAACTCTGTGACTTGAATGCAAACATCACAATGAAGTTTCTGGGAATGCTGCTGTCTGCTTTTTATACGTAATCCCGTTTCCAACGAAATCCTCAAAGCTAGACAAATATCCACTTGCAGATTCCACAAAAAGAGTGTTTCAAAACTGCTCTCTCAAAAGAAAGGTTCAACTCTGTTAGCTGAGTAGATACATCATGAAAAATTTTCTGACATTGCTTCTATCTAGCTTTTATTGGAAGATATTTCCTTTATCACCGTATTCCTGAGATCTCTCCAAATGTCCACTTCCAGATACTACAAAAAGAGTGTTTCAAACCTGCTCTATGAAAGGGACTGTTCAACACTGTGACTTCAATTGAAACATCCCAATGAAGCTTCTGAGAATGCTACTGTCTAGAGTTTATATGAAGACAATCCCATTTCCACCGAAATCCTCAAAGCTATCCAAATATCCTCTTGCAGATTTCACAAAAAGAGTGTTTCAAAACGGCTCTATCAAAAGAAAGGTTCAACACTGTTAGTTGAGGGCGCACATCACAAATAAGTTTCTGAGAATGCTGCTGTCTGCTTTTTATATGTAATCCCGTTTCCAACGAAATCCTCAAAGCTAGACAAATATCCACTTGCAGATTCCACAAAAAGAGTGTTTCAAAACTGCTCTGTCAAAAGAAAGCTTCAACACTGTTAGTTGAGGGCGCACATCACAAATAAGTTTCTGAGAATGCTTCTGTCTAGTTTTCAGGGGAAGATATTTCCTTTTTCACCTTATGCCTGAAAGCGCTGCAAATGTCCACATCCAGATACTACAAAAAGAGTGTTTCAAACCTGCTCTATCAAAGGGACTGTTCAACACTGTGACTTCAATTGAAACATCCCAATGAAGCTTCTGAGAATGCTTCTGTCTAGAGTTTATATGAAGACAATCCCGTTTCCAACGAAATCCTCAAAGCTATCCAAATATCCTCTTGCAGATTTTACAAAAAGAGTGTTTCAAAACTGCTCTATCAAAAGAAAGCTTCAACATAGTTAGTTGAGGGCGCACATCACAAATAAGATTCTGAGAATGCTTCTGTCTAGTTTTCAGGGGAAGATATTTCCTTTTTCACCATAGGCCTGAAAGCGCTCCAAATGTCCACATCCAGATACTACAAAAAGAGTGTTTCAAACCTGCTCTCTGAAAGGGAATGTTCAACTCTGTGACTTGAATGCAAACATCACAAAGAAGTTTCTGGGAATGCTGCTGTCTGCTTTTTATATGTAATCCCGTTTCCAACGAAATCCTCAAAGCTAGACAAATATCCACTTTCAGATTACACAAAAAGAGTGTTTCAAAACTGCTCTCTCAAAAGAAAGGTTCAACTCTGTTAGCTGAGTAGATACATCATGAAAAAGTTTCTGACATTGCTTCTATCTAGCTTTTATTGGAAGATATTTCCTTTATCACCGTATTCCTGAGATCTCTCCAAATGTCCACTTCCAGATACTACAAAAAGAGTGTTTCAAACCTGCTCTATGAAAGGGACTGTTCAACACTGTGACTTCAATTGAAACATCCCAATGAAGCTTCTGAGAATGCTTCTGTCTAGAGTTTATATGAAGACAATCCCGTTTCCAAAGAAATCCTCAAAGCTATCCAAATATCCTCTTGCAGATTTTACAAAAAGAGTGTTTCAAAACTGCTCTATCAAAAGAAAGCTTCAACACTGTTAGTTGAGGGCGCACATCACAAATAAGATTCTGAGAATGCTTCTGTCTAGTTTTCAGGAGAAGATATTTCCTTATTCACCATAGGCCTGAAAGCGCTCAAAATGTTCACATCCAGACACTATAAAAAGAGTGTTTCAAACCTGCTCTCTGAAAGGGAATGTTCAACTCTGTGACTTGAATGCAAACATCACAAACAAGATTCTGGGAATGCTGCTGTCTGCTTTTTATATGTAATCCCGTTTCCAACGAAATCCTCAAAGCTAGACAAATATCCACTTGCAGATTCCACAAAACGAGTGTTTCAAAACTGCTCTCTCAAAGGAAGGTTCAACTCTGTTAGCTGAGTAGATACATCATGAAAAAGTTTCTGACATTGCTTCTATGTAGCTTTTATTGGAAGATATTTCCTTTTTCACCATAGTCCTGAGAGCGCTCCAAATGTCCACTTCCAGATACTACAAAAAGAGTGTTTCAAACCTGTTCTATGAAAGGAACTGTTCAACACTGTGACTTCAATTGAAACATCCCAATGAAGCTTCTGAGAATGCTTCTGTCTAGTTTTCAGGGGAAGATATTTCCTTTTTCACCATAGGCCTGAAAGCGCTTCAAATGTCCACATCCAGATACTACAAAAAGAGTGTTTCAAACCTGCTCTATAAAAGGGAATGTTCAACTCTGTGACTTGAATGCAAACATCACAAAGAAGTTTCTGGGAATGCTGCTGTCTGCTTTTTATATGTAATCCCGTTTCCAACGAAATCCTCAAAGCTAGACAAATATCCACTTGCAGATTCCACAAAAAGAGTGTTTCAAAACTGCTCTATCAAAAGAAAGCTTCAACACTGTTAGTTGAGGGCGCACATCACAAATAAGTTTCTGAGAATGCTTCTGTCTAGTTTTCAGGGGAAGATATTTCCTTTTTCACCAAAGGCCTGAAAGCGCTCCAAATGTCCACATCCAGATACTACAAAAAGAGTGTTTCAAACCTGCTCTATGAAAGGGACTGTTCAACACTGTGACTTCAATTGAAACATCCCAATGAAGCTTCTGAGAATGCTTCTGTCTAGAGTTTATATGAAGACAATCCCGTTTCCAACGAAATCCTCAAAGCTATCCAAATATCCTCTTGCAGATTTTACAAAAAGAGTGTTTCAAAACTGCTCTATCAAAAGAAAGCTTCAACACTGTTAGTTGAGGGCGCACATCACAAATAAGATTCTGAGAATGCTTCTGTCTAGTTTTCAGGGGAAGATATTTCCTTTTTCACCTTAGGCCTGAAAGCGCTGCAAATGTCCACATCCAGATACTACAAAAAGAGTGTTTCAAACCTGCTCTATGAAAGGGAATGTTCAACTCTGTGACTTGAATGCAAACAACACAAAGAAGTTTCTGGGAATGCTGCTGTCTGCTTTTTATATGTAATCCCGTTTCCAACGAAATCCTCAAAACTAGACAAATATCCACTTGCAGATTCCACAAAAAGAGTGTTTCAAAACTGCTCTCTCAAAAGAAAGGTTCAACTCTGTTAGCTGAGTAGATACATCATGAAAAAGTTTACTGACATTGCTTCTATCTAGCTTTTATTGGAAGATATTTCCTTTTTCACCGTAGTCCTGAGAACGCTCCAAATGTCCACTTCCAGATGCTACAAAAAGAGTGTTGCAAACCTGCTCTATGAAAGGGACTGTTCAACACTGTGACTTCAATTGAAACATCCCAATGAAGCTTCTGAGAATGATACTGTCTATGGTTAATATGAATACAATCCCGTTTCCAACAAAATCCTCAAAGCTATCCAAATATACTCTTGCAGATTTTACAAAAAGAATGTTTCAAAACTGCTCTATCAAAAGAAAGCTTCAACACTGTTAGTTGAGGGCGCACATCATAAATAAGTTTCTGAGAATGCTGCTGTCTGCTTTTTATATGTAATCCCGTTTCCAACGAAATCCTCAAAGCTATCCAAATATCCTCTTGCAGATATTACAAAAAGAGTGTTTCAAAACTGCTCTATCAAAAGAAAGGTTCAACACTGTTAGTTGAGGGCGCACATCACAAATAAGTTTCTGAGAATGCTTCTGTCTAGTTTTCAGGGGAAGATATTTCCTTTTTCACCATAGGCCTGAAAGCGCTCAAATGTCCACATCCAGATACTACAAAAAGAGTGTTTCAAACCTGCTCTATGAAAGGGACTGTTCAACATTGTGACTTCAATTGAAACATCCCCATGATGCTTCTGAGAATGCTTCTGTCTAGAGTTTATATGAAGACAATCCCGTTTCCAACGAAATCCCCAAAGCTATCCAAATATCCTCTTGCAGATTTTACAAAAAGAGTGTTTCAAAACTGCTCTATCAAAAGAAAGCTTCAACACTGTTAGTTGAGGGCGCACATCACAAATAAGATTCTGAGAATGCTTCTGTCTAGTTTTCAGGGGAAGATATTTCCGTTTCAACCATAGGCCTGAGAGCGCTCCAAATGTCCACATCCAGATACTACAAAAAGAGTGTTTCAAACCTGCTCTATGAAAGGGAATGTTCAACTCTGTGACTTGAATGCAAACATCACAAAGAAGTTTCTGGGAATGCTGCTGTCTGCTTTTTATATGTAATCCCGTTTCCAACGAAATCCTCAAAGCTAGACAAATATCCACTTGCAGATTCCACAAAAAGAGTGTTTCAAAACTGCTCTCTCAAAAGAAAGGTTCAACTCTGTTACCTGAGTAGATACATCATGAAAAAGATTCTGACATTGCTTCTATCTAGCTTTTATTGGAAGATATTTCCTTTTTCACCGTATTCCTGAGAAGTCTCCAAATGTCCACTTCCAGATACTACAAAAAGAGTGTTTCAAACCTGCTCTATGAAAGGGACTGTTCAACACTGTGACTTCAATTGAAACATCCCAATGAAGCTTCTGAGAATGCTTCTTTCTAGAGTTTATATGAAGACAATCCCGTTTCCAACGAAATCCTCAAAGCTATCCAAATATTCTCTTGCAGATATTACAAAAAGAGTGTTTCAAAACTGCTCTATCAAAATAAAGCTTCAACACTGTTAGTTGAGGGCGCACATCACAAATAAGTTTCTGAGAATGCTGCTGTCTGCTTTTTATATGTAATCCCGTTTCCAACGAAATCCTCAAAGCTAGACAAATATCCACTTGCAGATTCCACAAAAAGAGTGTTTCAAAACTGCTCTATCAAAAGAATGCTTCAACACTGTTAGTTGAGGGGGCACATCACAAATAAGATTCTGAGAATGCTTCTGTCTAGTTTTCAGGGGAAGATATTTCCTTTTAAACCATAGGCCTGAAAGCGCTCCAAATGTCCACATCCAGATACTACAAAAAGAGTGTTTGAAACCTGCTTTATGAAAGGGACTGTTCAACACTGTGACTTCAATTGAAACATCCCAATGAAGCTTCTGAGAATGCTTCTGTCTAGAGTTTATATGAAGACAATCCCGTTTCCAACGAAATCCTCAAAGCTATCCAAATATCCTCTTGCAGATATTACAAAAAGAGTGTTTCAAAACTGCTCTATCAAAAGAAAGGTTCAACACTGTTAGTTGAGGGCGCACATCACAAATAAGTTTCTGAGAATGCTTCTGTCTAGTTTTCAGGGGAAGATATTTCCTTTTTCACCATAGGCCTGAAAGCGCTCCAAATGTCCACATCCAGATACTACAAAAAGAGTGTTTCAAACCTGCTCTATGAAAGGGAATGTTCAACTCTGTGACTTGAATGCAAACATCACAAAGAAGTTACTGGGAATGCTGCTGTCTGCTTTTTATATGTAATCCCGTTTCCAACGAAATCCTCAAAGCTAGACAAATATCCACTTGCAGATTCCACAAAACGAGTGTTTCAAAACTGCTCTCTCAAATGAAGGTTCAACTCTGTTAGCTGAGTAGATACATCATGAAAAAGTTTCTGACATTGCTTCTATCTAGCTTTTATTGGAAGATATTTCCTTTTTCACCGCAGTCCTGAGAGCGTTCCAAATGTCCACTTCAAGATACTACAAAAAGAGTGTTTCAAACCTGCTCTATGAAAGGGACTGTTCAACACTGTGACTTTAATTGAAACATCCCAATGAAGCTTCTGAGAATGCTTCTGTCTAGAGTTTATATGAAGACAATCCCGTTTCCAACGAAATCCTCAAAGCTATCAAAATATCCTCTTGCAGATTTTACGAAAAGAGGGTTTCAAAACTGCTCTATCAAAAGAAAGCTTCAACACTGTGAGTTGAGGGCGCACATCACAAATAAGATTCTGAGAATGCTTCTGTCTAGTTTTCAGGAGAAGATATTTCCTTTTTCACCATAGGGCTGAAAGCGCTCCAAATGTCCACATCCAGATACTACAAAAAGAGTGTTTCAAACCTGCTCTATGAAAGGGAATGTTCAACTGTGTGACTTGAATGCAAACATCACAAAGAAGTTTCTGGGAATGCTGCTGTCTGCTTTTTATATGTAAACCCGTTTCCAACGAAATCCTCAAAGCTAGACAAACATCCACTTGCAGATTACACAAAAAGAGTGTTTCAAAACTGCTCTCTCAAAGGAAAGGTTCAACTCTGTTAGCTGAGTAGATACATCATGAAAAAGTTTCTGACATTGCTTCTATCTAGCGTTTATTGGAAGATATTTCCTTTTTCACCGCAGTCCTGAGAGCGCTCCAAATGTCCACTTCCAGATACTACAAAAAGAGTGTTTCAAACCTGCTCTATGAAAGGGACTGTTCAACACTGTGACTTCAATTGAAACATCCCAATGAAGCTTCTGAGAATGCTGCTGTCTGCTTTGTATAATTAATCCCGTTTCCAACGAAATCCTCAAAGCTATCCAAATATCCTCTTGCAGATATTACAAAAAGAGTGTTTCAAAACTGCTCTATCAAAAGAAAGCTTCAACACTGTTAGTTGAGGGCGCACATCACAAATAAGTTTCTGAGAATGCTGCTGTCTGCTTTTTATAATTAATCCCGTTTCCAACGAAATCCTCAAAGCTATCCAAATATCCTCTTGCAGATATTACAAAAAGAGTGTTTCAAAACTGCTCTATCAAAAGAAAGCTTCAACACTGTTAGTTGAGGGCGCACATCACAAATAAGTTTCTGAGAATGCTTCTGTCTAGTTTTCAGGGGAAGATATTTCCTTTTTCACCATAGGCCCGAAAGCGCTCCAAATGTCCACATCCAGATACTACAAAAAGAGTGTTTCAAACCTGCTCTATGAAAGGGACTGTTCAACACTGTGACTTCAATTGAAACATCCCAATGAAGCTTCTGAGAATGCTTCTGTCTAGAGTTTATATGAAGACAATCCCGTTTCCAACGAAATCCTCAAAGCTATCCAAATATCCTCTTGCAGATTTTACAAAAAGAGTGTCTCAAAACTGCTCTATCAAAAGAAAGCTTCAACACTGTTAGTTGAGGGCGCACATCACAAATAAGTTTCTGAGAATGCTTCTGTCTAGTTTTCAGGGGAAGATATTTCCTTTTTCACCTTATGCCTGAAAGCGCTGCAAATGTCCACATCCAGATACTACAAAAAGAGTGTTTCAAACCTGCTCTATGAAAGGGAATGTTCAACTCTGTGACTTGAATGCAAACATCACAAAGAAGTTTGCTGGGAATGCTGCTGTCTGCTTTTTATATGTAATCCCGTTTCCAACGAAATCCTCAAAGCTAGACAAATATCCACTTGCAGATTCCACAAAAAGAGTGTTTCAAAACTGCTCTCTCAAAAGAAAGGTTCAACTCTGTTAGCTGAGTAGATACATCATGAAAAAGTTTCTGACATTGCTTCTATCTAGCTTTTATTGGAAGATATATCCTTTTTCACCGCAGTCCTGAGAGCGCTCCAAATGTCCACTTCCAGATACTACAAAAAGAGTGTTTCAAACCTGTTCTATGAAAGGAACTGTTCAACACTGTGACTTCAATTGAAACATCCCAACGAAGCTTCTGAGAATGCTTCTGTCTAGATTTTATATGAAGACAATCCCGTTTCCAACGAAATCCTCAAAGCTATGCGAATATCCTCTTGCAGATTTTACAAAAAGAGTGTTTCAAAACTGCTCTATCAAAAGAAAGGTTCAACACTGTTAGTTGAGGGCGCACATCACAAATAAGTTTCTGAGAATGCTTCTGTCTAGTTTTCAGGGGAAGATACTTCCTTTTAAACCATAGGCCTGAAAGCGCTCCAAATGTCCACATCCAGATACTACAAAAAGAGTGTTTCAAACCTGCTCTATGAAAGGGAATGTTCAACTCTGTGACTTGAATGCAAACATCACAAAGAAGTTACTGGGAATGCTGCTGTCTGCTTTTTATATGTAATCCCGTTTCCAACGAAATCCTCAAAGCTAGACAAATATCCACTTGCAGATTCCACAAAAAGAGTGTTTCAAAACTGCTCTGTCAAAAGAAAGGTTCAACTCTGTTAGCTGAATAGATACATCATGAGAAATTTTCTGACATTGCTTGTATCTAGCTTTATTTGGAAGATATTTCCTTTTTCACCGTAGTCCTGAGAGCGCTCCAAATGTCCACTTCCAGATACTACAAAAAGAGTGTTTCAAACCTGCTCTATGAAAGTGACTGTTCAACACTGTGACTTCAATTGAAACATCCCAAAGGACCTTCTGAGAATGCTACTGTCTAGGGTTAATATGAAGACAATCCCGTTTCCAACGAAATCCTCAAAGCTATCCAAATATCCTCTTGCGGATTTTACAAAAAGAGTGTATCAAAACTGCTCTATCAAAAGAAAGGTTCAACACTGTTAGTTGAGGGCGCACATGACAAATAAGTTTCTGAGAATGCTTCTGTCTAGTTTTCAGAGGAAGATATTTCCTTTTTCACCATAGGCCTGAAAGCGCTCCAAATGTCCACATCCAGATACTACAAAAAGAGTGTTTCAAACCTGCTCTATGAAACGGAATGTTCAAGTCTGTGACTTCAATGCAAATATCACAAAGAAGTTTCTGGGAATGCTGCTGTCTGCTTTTTATATGTAATCCCGTTTCCAACGAAATCCTCAAAGCTAGACAAATATCCACTTCCAGATTCCACAAAAAGAGTGTTTCAAAACTGCTCTCTCAAAAGAAAGGTTCAACACTGTTAGCTGAGTAGATACATCCTGAAAAAGTTTCTGACATTGCTTCTATCTAGCTTTTATTTGAAGATATTTCCTTTTTCACCGTAGTCCTGAGAGCGCTCCAAATGTCCACTTCCAGATACTACAAAAAGAGTGTTTCAAACCTGCTTTATGAAAGGGACTGTTCAACACTGTGACTTCAATTGAAACATCCCAATGAAGCTTCTGAGAATGCTTCTGTCTAGAGTTTATATGAAGACAATCCCGTTTCCAACGAAATCCTCAAAGCTATCCAAATATCCTCTTGCAGATTTTACAAAAAGAGTGTTTCAAAACTGCTATATCAAAAGAAAGGTTCAACACTGTTAGTTGAGGGCGCACATCACAAATAAGATTCTGAGAATGCTTCTGTCTAGTTTTCAGGGGAAGATATTTCCTTTTTCACCATAGGCCTGAAAGCGCTCCAAATGTCCACATCCAGATACTACAAAGAGAGTGTTTCAAACCTGCTCTATGAAAGGGAATGTTCTAGTCTGTGACTTGAATGCTAATTTCACAAAGAACTTTCTGGGAATGCTACTGTCTGCTTTTTATATGTAATCCTGTTTCCAACGAAATCCTCAAAGCTAGACAAATATCCACTTGCAGATTCCACAAAAATAGTGTTTCAAAACTGCTCTCTCAAAAGAATGGTTCAACTCTTTTAGCTGAGTAGATACATCATGAAAAAGTTTCTGATATTGCTTCTATCTAGCTTTTATTGGAAGATATTTCCTTTATCACCGTATTCCTGAGATCTCTCCAAATGTCCATTTCCAGATACTACAAAAAGAGTGTTTCAAACCTGCTCTATGAAAGGGACTGTTCAACACTGCGACTTCAATTGAAACATCCCAATGAAGCTTCTGAGAATGCTTCTGTCTAGATTTTATATGAAGACAATCCCGTTTCCAACGAAATCCTCAAAGCTATCCAAATATCCTCTTGCAGATATTACAAAAAGAGTGTTTCAAAACTGCTCTATCAAAAGAAAGGTTCAACAGTGTTAGTTGAGGGCGCACATCACAAATAAGTTTCTGAGAATGCTTCTGTCTAGTTTTCAGGGGAAGATATTTCCTTTTTCACCATAGGCCTGAAAGCGCTCCAAATGTCCACATCCAGATACTACAAAAAGAGTGTTTCAAACCTGCTCTATGAAAGGGAATGTTCAACTCTGTGACTTGAATGCAAACAACACAAAGAAGTTTCTGGGAATGCTGCTGTCTGCTTTTTATATGTAATCCCGTTTCCAACGAAATCCTCAAAGCTAGACAAATATCCACTTGCAGATTCCACAAAAAGAGTGTTTCAAAACTGCTCTCTCAAAGGAAAGGTTCACCTCTGTTAGCTGAGTAGATACATCATGAAAAAGTTTCTGACATTGCTTCTATCTAGCTTTTATTGGAAGATATTTCCTTTATCACCGTATTCCTGAGATCTCTCCAAATGTCCACTTCCAGATACTACAAAATGAGTGTTTCAAACCTGCTCTATGAAAGGGACTGTTCAACACTGTGACTTCAATTGAAACATCCCAATGAAGCTTCTGAGAATGCTTCTGTCTAGATTCTATATGAAGACAATCCCGTTTCCAACGAAATCCTCAAAGCTATCCAAATATCCTCTTGCAGATTTTACAAAAAGAGTGTTTCAAAACTGCTCTATCAAAAGAAAAGTTCCACACTGTTAGTTGAGGGCGCACATCACAAATAAGTTTGCTGAGAATGCTGCTGTCTGCTTTTTATATGTAATCCCGTTTCCAACGAAATCCTCAAAGCTAGACAAATATCCACTTGCAGATTCCACAAAAAGAGTGTTTCAAAACTGCTCTATCAAAAGAAAGCTTCAACACTGTTAGTTGAGGGCGCACATCACAAATAAGTTTCTGAGAATGCTTCTGTCTAGTTTTCAGGGGAAGATATTTCCTTTTTCACCATAGGCCTGAAAGCGCTCCAAATGTCCACATCCAGATACTACAAAAAGAGTGTTTCAAACCTGCTCTATGAAAGGGACTGTTCAACACTGTGACTTCAATTGAAACATCCCAATGAAGCTTCTGAGAATGCTTCTGTCTAGAGTTTATATGAAGACAATCCCGTTTCCAAGGAAATCCTCAAAGCTATCCAAATATCCTCTTGCAGATATTACAAAAAGAGTGTTTCAAAACTGCTCTATCAAAAGAAAGGTTCAACACTGTTAGTTGAGGGCGCACATCACAAATAAGTTTCTGAGAATGCTTCTGTCTAGTTTTCAGGGGAAGATATTTCCTTTTTCACCATAGGCCTGAAAGCGCTCCAATTGTCCACATCCAAATACTTCAAAAAGAGTGTTTCAAACCTGCTCTATGAAAGGGAATGTTCAACTCTCTGACTTGA
This sequence comes from Homo sapiens, assembly GCF_000001405.40. Taxonomy (NCBI): domain Eukaryota; kingdom Metazoa; phylum Chordata; class Mammalia; order Primates; family Hominidae; genus Homo; species Homo sapiens. Next base: position 93,741,672 of record NC_000002.12, on the reverse strand, counting down.
ATGCAAACATCACAAAGAAGTTACTGGGAATGCTGCTGACTGCTTTTTATATGTAATCCCGTTTCCAACGAAATCCTCAAAGCTAGACAAATATCCACTTGCAGATTCCACAAAAAGAGTGTTTCAAAACTGCTCTCTCAAAAGAAAGGTTCAACTCTGTTAGCTGAGTAGATACATCATGAAAAAGTTTCTGACATTACTTCTATCTAGCTTTTATTGGAAGATAATTCCTTTTTCACGGCAGTCCTGAGAGCGCTCCAAATGTCCACTTCCAGATACTACAAAAAGAGTGTTTCAAACCTGCTCTATGAAAGGGACTGTTCAACACTGTGACTTCAATTGAAACATCCCAATGAAGCTTCTGAGAATGCTTCTTTCTAGAGTTTATATGAAGACAATCCCGTTTCCAACGAAATCCTCAAAGCTATCCAAATATTCTCTTGCAGATATTACAAAAAGAGTGTTTCAAAACTGCTCTATCAAAATAAAGCTTCAACACTGTTAGTTGAGGGCGCACATCACAAATAAGTTTCTGAGAATGCTGCTGTCTGCTTTTTATATGTAATCCCGTTTCCAACGAAATCCTCAAAGCTAGACAAATATCCACTTGCAGATTCCACAAAAAGAGTGTTTCAAAACTGCTCTATCAAAAGAAAGCTTCAACACTGTTAGTTGAGGGCGCACATCACAAATAAGTTTCTGAGAATGCTTCTGTCTAGTTTTCAGGGGAAGATATTTCCTTTTTCACCTTATGCCTGAAAGCGCTGCAAATGTCCACATCCAGATACTACAAAAAGAGTGTTTCAAACCTGCTCTATCAAAGGGACTGTTCAACACTGTGACTTCAATTGAAACATCCCAATGAAGCTTCTGAGAATGCTCCTGTCTAGAGTTTATATGAAGACAATCCCGTTTCCAACGAAATCCTCAAAGCTATCCAAATATCCTCTTGCAGATTTTACAAAAAGAGTGTTTCAAAACTGCTCTATCAAAAGAAAGCTTCAACACTGTTAGTTGAGGGTGCACATAACAAATAACATTCTGAGAATGCTTCTGTCTAGTTTTCAGGGGAAGATATTTCCTTTTTCACCATAGGCCTGAAAGCGCTCCAAATGTCCACATCCAGATACTACAAAAAGAGTGTTTCAAAACTGCTCTATGAAAGGGAATGTTCAACTCTGTGACTTGAATGCAAACATCACAAAGAAGTTTCTGGGAATGCTGCTGTCTGCTTTTTATATGTAATCCCGTTTCCAACGAAATCCTCAAAGCTAGACAAATATCCACTTCCAGATTCCACAAAAAGAGTGTTTCAAAACTGCTCTCTCAAAAGAAAGGTTCAACTCTGTTAGCTGAGTAGATACATCATGAAAAAGTTTCTGACATTGCTTCTATCTAGCTTTTATTGGAAGATATTTCCTTTATCACCGTATTCCTGAGATCTCTCCAAATGTCCACTTCCAGATACTACAAAAAGAGTGTTTCAAACCTGCTCTATGAAAGGTACTGTTCAACACTGTGACTTCAATTGAAACATCCCAATGAAGCTTCTGAGAATGCTTCTTTCTAGAGTTTATATGAAGACAATCCCGTTTCCAACGAAATCCTCAAAGCTATCCAAATATTCTCTTGCAGATATTACAAAAAGAGTGTTTCAAAACTGCTCTATCAAAATAAAGCTTCAACACTGTTAGTTGAGGGCGCACATCACAAATAAGTTTCTGAGAATGCTGCTGTCTGCTTTTTATATGTAATCCCGTTTCCAACGAAATCCTCAAAGCTAGACAAATATCCACTTCCAGATTCCACAAAAAGAGTGTTTCAAAACTGCTCTATCAAAAGAAAGCTTCAACACTGTTAGTTGATTGCGCACATCACAAATAAGTTTCTGAGAATGCTTCTGTCTAGTTTTCAGGGGAAGATATTTCCTTTTTCACCATAGGCCTGAAAGCGCTCCAAATGTCCACATCCAGATACTACAAAAAGAGTGTTTCAAACCTGCTCTATGAAAGGGACTGTTCAACACTGTGACTTCAATTGAAACATCCCAATGAAGCTTCTGAGAATGCTTCTGTCTAGAGTTTATATGAAGACAATCCCGTTTCCAACGAAATCCTCAAAGCTATCCAAATATCCTCTTGCAGATTTTACAAAAAGAGTGTTTCAAAACTGCTCTATCAAAAGAAAGCTTCAACACTGTTAGTTGAGGGCGCACATCACAAATAAGATTCTGAGAATGCTTCTGTCTAGTTTTCAGGGGAAGATATTTCCTTTTTCAACATAGGCCTGAAAGCGCTCCAAATGTCCACATCCAGATACTACAAAAAGAGTGTTTCAAACCTGCTCTCTGAAAGGGAATGTTCAACTCTGTGACTTGAATGCAAACATCACAAAGAAGTTTCTGGGAATGCTGCTGTCTGCTTTTTATATGTAATCCCGTTTCCAACGAAATCCTCAAAGCTAGACAAATATCCACTTGCAGATTCCACAAAAAGAGTGTTTCAAAACTGCTCTCTCAAAAGAAAGGTTCAACTCTGTTAGCTGAGTAGATACATCATGAAAAAGTTTCTGACATTGCTTCTATCTAGCTTTTATTGGAAGATATTTCCTTTATCATCGTAGTCCTGAGAGCGCTCCAAATGTCCACTTCCAGATACTACAAAAAGAGTGTTTCAAACCTGCTCTATGACAGGGACTGTTCAACACTGTGACTTCAATTGAAACATCCCAATGAAGCTTCTGAGAATGCTTCTGTCTAGAGTTTATATGAAGACAATCCCGTTTCCAACGAAATCCTCAAAGCTATCCAAATATCCTCTTGCAGATATTACAAAAAGAGTGTTTCAAAACTGCTCTATCAAAAGAAAGGTTCAACACTGTTAGTTGAGGGCGCACATCACAAATAAGTTTACTGAGAATGCTGCTGTCTGCTTTTTATATGTAATCCCGTTTCCAACGAAATCCTCAAAGCTAGACAAATATCCACTTGCAGATTCCACAAAATAGTGTTTCAAAACTGCTCTATCAAAAGAATGCTTCAACACTGTTAGTTGAAGGCGCACATCACAAATAAGTTTCTGAGAATGCTTCTGTCTAGTTTTCAGGGGAAGATATTTCCTTTTAAACCATAGGCCTGAAAGCGCCCCAAATGTCCACATCCAGATACTACAAAAAGAGTGTTTCAAACCTGCTCTATGAAAGGGAGTGTTCAACACTGTGACTTCAATTGAAACATCCCAATGACGCTTCTGAGAATGCTTCTGTCTAGAGTTTATATGAACACAATCCCGTTTCCAACGAAATCCTCAAAGCTATCCAAATATCCTCTTGCAGATTTTACAAAAAGAGTGTTTCAAAACTGCTCTCTCAAAAGAAAGGTTCAACTCTGTTAGCTGAGTAGATACATCATGAAAAAGTTTCTGACATTGCTTCTATGTAGCTTTTATTGGAAGATATTTCCTTTTTCACCGTAGTCCTGAGAGCGCTCCAAATGTCCACTTCCAGATACTACAAAAAGAGTGTTTCAAACCTGTTCTCTGAAAGGAACTGTTCAACATGTGACTTCAATTGAAACATCCCAATGAAGCTTCTGAGAATGCTGCTGTCTGCTTTGTATAATTAATCCCGTTTCCAACGAAATCCTCAAAGCTATCCAAATATCCTCTTGCAGATATTACAAAAAGAGTGTTTCAAAACTGCTCTATCAAAAGAAAGCTTCAACACTGTTAGTTGAGGGCGCACATCACAAATAAGTTTCTGAGAATGCTGCTGTCTGCTTTTTATATGTAATCCCGTTTCCAACGAAATCCTCAAAGCTATCCAAATATCCTCTTGCAGATATTACAAAAAGAGTGTTTCAAAACTGCTCTATCAAAAGAAAGGTTCAACACTGTTAGTTGAGGGCGCACATCACAAATAAGTTTACTGAGAATGCTTCTGTCTAGTTTTCAGGGGAAGATATTTCCTTTTAAACCATAGGCCTGAAAGCGCTCCAAATGTCCACATCCAGATACTACAAAAAGAGTGTTTCAAACCTGCTCTATGAAAGGGAGTGTTCAACACTGTGACTTCAATTGAAACATCCCAATGAAGCTTCTGAGAATGCTTCTGCGTAGAGTTCATATGAAGACAATCCCGTTTCCAACGAAATCCTCAAAGCTATCCAAATATCCTCTTGCAGATTTTACAAAAAGAGTGTTTCAAAACTGCTCTATCAAAAGAAAGGTTCAACACTGTTAGTTGAGGGCGCAGATCACAAATAAGTTTCTGAGAATGCTTCTGTCTAGTTTTCAGGGGAAGATATTTCCTTTTTCACCATAGGCCTGAAAGCGCTCCAAATGTCCACATCCAGATACTACAAAAAGAGTGTTTCAAACCTGCTCTATGAAAGGGAATGTTCAACTCTGTGACTTGAATGCAAACATCACAAAGAAGTTTCTGGGAATGCTGCTATCTGCTTTTTATATGTAATCCCGTTTCCAACGAAATCCTCAAAGCTAGACAAATATCCACTTGCAGATTCCACAAGAAGAGTGTTTCAAAACTGCTCTCTCAAAAGAAAGGTTCAACTCTGTTAGCTGAGTAGATACATCATGAAAAAGTTTCTGACATTGCTTCTATGTAGCTTTTATTGGAAGATATTTCCTTTTTCACCATAGTCCTGAGAGCGCTCCAAATGTCCACTTCCAGATACTACAAAAAGAGTGTTTCAAACCTGTTCTATGAAAGGAACTGTTCGACACTGTGACTTCAATTGAAACATCCCGATGAAGCTTCTGAGAATGCTGCTGTCTGCTTTGTATAATTAATCCCGTTTCCAACGAAATCCTCAAAGCTATCCAAATATCCTCTTGCAGATATTACAAAAAGAGTGTTTCAAAACTGCTCTATCAAAAGAAAGCTTCAACACTGTTAGTTGAGGGCGCACATCACAAATAAGTTTCTGAGAATGCTGCTGTCTGCTTTTTATAATTAATCCCGTTTCCAACGAAATCCTCAAAGCTATCCAAATATCCTCTTGCAGATATTACAAAAAGAGTGTTTCAAAACTGCTCTATCAAAAGAAAGCTTCAACACTGTTAGTTGAGGGCGCACATCACAAATAAGTTTCTGAGAATGCTTCTGTCTAGTTTTCAGGGGAAGATATTTCCTTTTAAACCATAGGCCTGAAAGCGCTCCAAATGTCCACATCCAGATACTACAAAAAGAGTGTTTCAAACCTGCTCTATGAAAGGGACTGTTCAACACTGTGACTTCAATTGAAACATCCCAATGAAGCTTCTGAGAATGCTTCTGTCTAGAGTTTATATGAAGACAATCCCGTTTCCAACGAAATCCTCAAAGCTATCCAAATATCCTCTTGCAGATATTACAAAAAGAGTGTTTCAAAACTGCTCTATCAAAAGAAAGGTTCAACACTGTTAGTTGAGGGCGCACATCACAAATAAGTTTCTGAGAATGCTTCTGTCTAGTTTTCAGGGGAAGATATTTCCTTTTTCACCATAGGCCTGAAAGCGCTCCAAATGTCCACATACAGATACTACAAAAAGAGTGTTTCAAACCTGCTCTATGAAAGGGAATGTTCAACTCTGTGACTTGAATGCAAACATCACAAAGAAGTTTTCTGGGAATGCTGCTGTCTGCTTTTTATATGTAATCCCGTTTCCAACGCAATCCTCAAAGCTAGACAAATATCCACTTGCAGATTCCACAAAAAGAGGGTTTCAAAACTGCTCTCTCAAAAGAAAGGTGCAACTCTGTTAGCTGAGTAGATACATCATGAAAAATTTTCTGACATTGCTTCTATCTAGCTTTTATTGGAAGATATTTCCTTTATCACCGTATTCCTGAGATCTCTCCAAATGTCCACTTCCAGATACTATAAAAAGAGTGTTTCAAACCTGCTCTATGAAAGGGACTGTTCAACACTGTGACTTCAATTGAAACATCCCAATGAAGCTTCTGAGAATGCTTATGTCTAGAGTTTATATGAAGACAATCCCGTTTCCAACGAAATCCTGAAAGCTATCCAAATATCCTCTTGCAGATATTACAAAAAGAGTGTTTCAAAACTGCTCTATCAAAAGAAAGCTTCAACACTGTTAGTTGAGGGCGCCCATCACAAATAAGTTTCGGAGAATGCTTAGCTGTCTGCTTTTTATATGTAATCCCGTTTCCAACGAAATCCTCAAAGCTAGACAAATATCCACTTGCAGATTCCACAAAAAGAGTGTTTCAAAACTGCTCTATCAAAAGAAAGCTTCAACACTGTTAGTTGAGGGCGCACATCACAAATAAGTTTCTGAGAATGCTTCTGTCTAGTTTTCAGGGGAAGATATTTCCTTTTTCACCATAGGCCTGAAAGCGCTCCAAATGTCCACATCCAGATACTACAAAAAGAGTGTTTCAAACCTGCTCTATGAAAGGGACTGTTCAACACTGTGACTTCAATTGAAACATCCCAATGAAGCTTCTGAGAATGCTTCTGTCTAGAGTTTATATGAAGACAATCCCGTTTCCAACGAAATCCTCAAAGCTATCCAAATATCCTCTTGCAGATATTACAAAAAGAGTGTTTCAAAACTGCTCTATCAAAAGAAAGGTTCAACACTGTTAGTTGAGGGCGCACATCACAAATAAGTTTCTGAGAATGCTTCTGTCTAGTTTTCAGGGGAAGATATTTCCTTTTTCACCATAGGCTTGAAAGCACTCCAAATGTCCACATCCAGATACTACAAAAAGAGTGTTTCAAACCTGCTCTATGAAAGGGAATGTTCAACTCTGTGACTTGAATGCAAACATCACAAAGAAGTTTCTGGGAATGCTGCTGTCTGCTTTTTATATGTAATACCGTTTCCAACGCAATCCTCAAAACTACACAAATATCCACTTGCAGATTCCACAAAAAGAGTGTTTCAAAACTACTCTCTCCAAAGAAAGGTTCAACTCTGTTAGCTGAGTAGATACATCATGAAAAATTTTCTGACATTGCTTCTATGTAGCTTTTATTGGAAGATATTTCCTTTTTCAACGCAGTCCTGAGAGCGCTCCAAATGTCCACTTCCAGATACTACAAAAAGAGTGTTTCAAACCTGCTCTATGAAAGGGACTGTTCAACACTGTGACTTCAATTGAAACATCCCAATGAAGCTTCTGAGAATGCTGCTGTCTGCTTTGTATAATTAATCCCGTTTCCAACGAAATCCTCAAAGCTATCCAAATATCCTCTTGCAGATATTACAAAAAGAGTGTTTCAAAACTGCTCTATCAAAAGAAAGCTTCAACACTGTTAGTTGAGGGCGCACATCACAAATAAGTTTCTGAGAATGCTGCTGTCTGCTTTTTATATGTAATCCCGTTTCAAACGAAATTCTCAAAGCTAGACAAATATCCACTTGCAGATTCCACAAAAAGAGTGTTTCAAAACTGCTCTATCAAAAGAAAGCTTCAACACTGTTAGTTGAGGGCGCACATCACAAATAAGTTTCTGAGAATGCTTCTGTCTAGTTTTCAGGGGAAGATATTTCCTTTTAAACCATAGGCCTGAAAGCGCTCAAATGTCCACATCCAGATACTACAAAAAGAGTGTTTCAATCCTGCTCTATGAAAGGGACTGTTCAACATTGTGACTTCAATTGAAACATCCCCATGATGCTTCTGAGAATGCTTCTGTCTAGATTTTATATGAAGACAATCCCGTTTCCAACGAAATCCTCAAAGCTATCAAAATATCCTCTTGCAGATTTTACGAAAAGAGTGTTTCAAAACTGCTCTATCAAAAGAAAGCTTCAACACTGTTAGTTGAGGGCGCACATCACAAATAAGATTCTGAGAATGCTTCTGTCTAGTTTTCAGGGGAAGATATTTCCTTTTTCACCATAGGCCTGAAAGCGCTCCAAATGTCCGCATCCAGATACTACAAAAAGAGATGTTTCAAACCTGCTCTATGAAAGGGAATGTTCAAGTCTGTGACTTGAATGCAAATTTCACAAAGAACTTTCTGGGAATGCTGCTGTCTGCTTTTTATATGTAATCCCTTTTCCAACGAAATCCTCAAAGCTAGACAAATATCAACTTGCAGATTCCACAAAAAGAGTGTTTCAAAACTGCTCTCTCAAAAGAAAGGTTCAACTCTGTTAGCTGAGTAGATACATCATGAAAAAGTTTCTGACATTGCTTCTATCTAGCTTTTATTGGAAGATATTTCCTTTTTCACCGTAGTCCTGAGATCTCTCCAAATGTCCACTTCCAGATACTACAAAAAGAGTGTTTCAAACCTGCTCTATGAAAGGGACTGTTCAACACTGTGACTTCAATTGAAACATCCCAATGAAGCTTCTGAGAATGCTTCTGTCTAGATTCTATATGAAGACAATCCCGTTTCCAACGAAATCCTCAAAGCTATCCAAATATCCTCTTGCAGATTTTACAAAAAGAGTGTTTCAAAACTGCTCTATCAAAAGAAAAGTTCCACACTGTTAGTTGAGGGCGCACATCACAAATAAGTTTGCTGAGAATGCTGCTGTCTGCTTTTTATATGTAATCCCGTTTCCAACGAAATCCTCAAAGCTAGACAAATATCCACTTGCAGATTCCACAAAAAGAGTGTTTCAAAACTGCTCTATCAAAAGAATGCTTCAACACTGTTAGTTGAGGGCGCACATCACAAATAAGTTTCTGAGAATGCTTCTGTCTAGTTTTCAGGGGAAGATATTTCCTTTTAAACCATAGGCCTGAAAGCGCTCCAAATGTCCACATCCAGATACTACAAAAAGAGTGTTTCAAACCTGCTCTATGAAAGGGACTGTTCAACACTGCAACTTCAATTGAAACATCCCAATGAAGCTTCTGAGAATGCTTCTGTCTAGAGTTTATATGAAGACAATCCCGTTTCCAACGAAATCCTCAAAGCTATCCAAATATCCTCTTGCAGATTTTACAAAAAGAGTGTTTCAAAACTGCTCTATCAAAAGAAAGCTTCAACACTGTTAGTTGAGGGTGCACATCACAAATAAGATTCTGAGAATGCTTCTGTCTAGTTTTCAGCGGAAGATATTTCCTTTTTCACCATAGGCCTGAGAGCGCTCCAAATGTCCACATCCAGATACTACAAAAAGAGTGTTTCAAACCTGCTCTATGAAAGGGAATGTTCAACTCTGTGACTTGAATGCAAACATCAGAAAGAAGTTTCTGGGAATGCTGCTGTCTGCTTTTTCTATGTAATCCCTTTTCCAACGAAATCCTCAAAGCTAGACAAATATCCACTTGCAGATTCCACAAAAATAGTGTTTCAAAACTGCTCTCTCAAAAGAAAGGTTCAACTCTTTTAGCTGAGTAGATACATCATGAAAAAGTTTCTGACATTGCTTCTATCTAGCTTTTATTGGAAGATATTTCCTTTTTCACCGTAGTCCTGAGAACGCTCCAAATGTCCACTTCCAGATGCTACAAAAAGATTGTTTCAAACCTGCTCTATGAAAGGGACTGTTCAACACTGTGACTTCAATTGAAACATCCCAATGAAGCTTCTGAGAATGCAGCTGTCTGCTTTGTATAATTAATCCCGTTTCCAACGAAATCCTCAAAGCTATCCAAATATCCTCTTGCAGATATTACAAAAAGAGTGTTTCAAAACTGCTCTATCAAAAGAAAGCTTCAACACTGTTAGTTGAGGGCGCACATCACAAATAAGTTTCTGAGAATGCTGCTGTCTGCTTTTTATAATTAATCCCGTTTCCAACGAAATCCTCAAAGCTATCCAAATATCCTCTTGCAGATATTACAAAAAGAGTGTTTCAAAACTGTTCTATCAAAAGAAAGGTTCAACACTGTTAGTTGAGGGCGCACATCACAAATAAGTTTCTGAGAATGCTTCTATGTAGCTTTTATAGGAAGATATTTCCTTTTTCACCATAGTCCTGAGAGCGCTCCAAATGTCCACTTCCAGATACTACAAAAAGAGTGTTTCAAACCTGCTCTATGAAAGGGACTGTTCAACACTGTGACTTCAGTTGAAACATCCCAATGAAGCTTCTGAGAATGCTTCTGTCTAGAGTTTATATGAAGACAATCCCGTTTCCAACGAAATCCTCAAAGCTATCCAAATATCCTCTTGCAGATTTTACAAAAAGAGTGTTTCAAAACTGCTCTATCAAAAGAAAGCTTCAACTCTGTTAGTTGAGGGCGCACATCACAAATAAGATTCTGAGAATGCTTCTGTCTAGTTTTCAGGGGAAGATATTTCCTTTTTCACCTTATGCCTGAAAGCGCTGCAAATGTCCACATCCAGATACTACAAAAAGAGTGTTTCAAACCTGCTCTATGAAAGGGAATGTTCAACTCTGTGACTTGAATGCAAACATCACAAAGAAGTTTCTGGGAATGCTGCTGTCTGCTTTTTATATGTAATCCCGTTTCCAACGCAATCCTCAAATCTAGAAAAATATCCACTTGCAGATTCCACAAAAAGAGTGTTTCAAAACTGCTCTCTCAAAAGAAAGGTTCAACTCTTTTAGCTCAGTAGATACATCATGAAAAAGTTTCTGATATTGCTTCTATCTAGCTTTTATTGGAAGATATTTCCTTTTTCACCGCAGTCCTGAGAGCGCTCCAAATGTCCACTTCCAGATACTACAAAAAGAGTGTTTCAAACCTGCTCTATGAAAGGGACTGTTCAACACTGTGACTTCAATTGAAACATCCCAATGAAGCTTCTGAGAATGCTTCTTTCTAGAGTTTATATGAAGACAATCCCGTTTCCAACGAAATCCTCAAAGCTATCCAAATATTCTCTTGCAGATATTACAAAAAGAGTGTTTCAAAACTGCTCTATCAAAATAAAGCTTCAACACTGTTAGTTGAGGGCGCACATCACAAATAAGTTTCTGAGAATGCTGCTGTCTGCTTTTTATATGTAATCCCGTTTCCAACGAAATCCTCAAAGCTAGACAAATATCCACTTGCAGATTCCACAAAAAGAGTGTTTCAAAACTGCTCTATCAAAAGAATGCTTCAACACTGTTAGTTGAAAGCGCACATCACAAATAAGTTTCTGAGAATGCTTCTGTCTAGTTTTCAGGGGAAGATATTTCCTTTTTCACCATAGGCCTGAAAGCGCTCCAAATGTCCACATCCAGATACTACAAAAAGAGTGTTTCAAACCTGCTCTATGAAAGGGACTGTTCAACACTGTGACTTCAATTGAAACATCCCAATGAAGCTTCTGAGAATGCTACTGTCTAGAGTTTATATGAAGACAATCCTGTTTCCAACGAAATCCTCAAAACTATCCAAATATCCTCTTGCAGATTTTACAAAAAGAGTGTTTGAAAACTGCTCTATCAAAAGAAAGCTTCAACACTGTTAGTTGAGGGCGCACATCACAAATAAGTTTCTGAGAATGCTTCTGTCTAGTTTTCAGGGGAAGATATTTCCTTTTTCACCATAGGCCTGAAAGCGCTGCAAATGTCCACATACAGATACTACAAAAAGAGTGTTTCAAACCTGCTCTATGAAAGGGAATGTTCAACTCTGTGACTTCAATGCAAACTTCACAAAGAAGTTTCTGGGAATGCTGCTGTCTGCTTTTTATATGTAATCCCGTTTCCAACGAAATCCTCAAAGCTAGACAAATATCCACTTGCAGATTCCACAAAAAGAGTGTTTCAAAACTGCTCTTTCAAAAGAAAGGTTCAACTCTTTTAGCTGAGTAGATACATCATGAAAAAGTTTCTGACATTGCTTCTATCTAGCTTTTATTGGAAGATATTTCCTTTATCACCGTAGTCCTGAGAGCGCTCCAAATGTCCACTTCCAGATACTACAAAAAGAGTGTTTCAAACCTGCTCTATGAAAGGGACTGTTCAACACTGTGACTTCAATTGAAACATCCCAATGAAGCTTCTGAGAATGCTTCTTTCTAGAGTTTATATGAAGACAATCCCGTTTCCAACGAAATCCTCAAAGCTATCCAAATATTCTCTTGCAGATATTACAAAAAGAGTGTTTCAAAACTGCTCTATCAAAATAAAGCTTCAACACTGTTAGTTGAGGGCGCACATCACAAATAAGTTTCTGAGAATGCTGCTGTCTGCTTTTTATATGTAATCCCGTTTCCAACGAAATCCTCAAAGCTAGACAAATATCCACTTGCAGATTCCACAAAAAGAGTGTTTCAAAACTGCTCTATCAAAAGAAAGCTTCAACACTGTTAGTTGAGGGCGCACATCACAAATAAGTTTCTGAGAATGCTTCTGTCTAGTTTTCAAGGGAAGATATTTCCTTTTAAACCATAGGCCTGAAAGCGCTCCAAATGTCCACATCCAGATACTACAAAAAGAGTGTTTCAAACCTGCTCTATGAAAGGGACTGTTCAACACTGTGACTTCAATTGAAACATCCCAATGACGCTTCTGAGAATGCTTCTGTCTAGATTCTATATGAAGACAATCCCGTTTCCAACGTAATCCTCAAAGCTATCCAAATATCCTCTTGCGGATTTTACAAAAAGAGTGTATCAAAACTGCTCTATCAAAAGAAAGGTTCAACACTGTTAGTTGAGGGCGCACATGACAAATAAGTTTCTGAGAATGCTTCTGTCTAGTTTTCAGGGGAAGATATTTCCTTTTTCACCATAGGCCTGAAAGCGCTCCAAATGTCCACATCTAGATACTACAAAAAGAGTGTTTCAAACCTGCTCTATGAAAGGGAATGTTCAACTCTGTGACTTGAATGCAAACATCACAAAGAAGTTTCTGGGAATGCTGCTGTCTGCTTTTTATATGTAATCCCGTTTCAAACGCAATCCTCAAACCTAGACAAATATCCACTTGCAGATTCCACAAAAAGAGTGTTTCAAAACTGCTCTCTCAAAAGAAAGGTTCAACTCTGTTAGCTGAGTAGATACATCATGAAAAATTTTCTTACATTGCTTCTATCTAGCTTTTATTGGAAGATATTTCCTTTATCACCGTAGTCCTGAGAGCGCTCAAAATGTCCACATCCAGATACTACAAAAAGAGTGTTTCAAACCTGCTCTATGAAAGGGACTGTTCAACACTGTGACTTCAATTGAAACATCCCAATGAAGCTTCTGAGAATGCTTCTTTCTAGAGTTTATATGAAGACAATCCCGTTTCCAACGAAATCCTCAAAGCTATCCAAATATTCTCTTGCAGATATTACAAAAAGAGTGTTTCAAAACTGCTCTATCAAAATAAAGCTTCAACACTGTTAGTTGAGGGCGCACATCACAAATAAGTTTCTGAGAATGCTGCTGTCTGCTTTTTATATGTAATCCCGTTTCCAACGAAATCCTCAAAGCTAGACAAATATCCACTTGCAGATTCCACAAAAAGAGTGTTTCAAAACTGCTCTATCAAAAGAAAGCTTCAACACTGTTAGTTGAGGGCGCACATCACAAATAAGTTTCTGAGAATGCTTCTGTCTAGTTTTCAGGGGAAGATATTTCCTTTTAAACCATAGGCCTGAAAGCGCTCCAAATGTCCACATCCAGATACTACAAAAAGAGTGTTTCAAACCTGCTCTATGAAAGGGACTGTTCAACACTGTGACTTCAATTGAAACATCCCAATGAAGCTTCTGAGAATGCTTCTGTCTAGAGTTTATATGAAGACAATCCCGTTTCCAACGAAATCCTTAAAGCTATCCAAATATCCTCTTGCAGATTTTACAAAAAGAGTGTTTCAAAACTGCTCTATCAAAAGAAAGCTTCAACACTGTTAGTTGAGGGCGCACATCACAAATAAGATTCTGAGAATGCTTCTGTCTAGTGTTCAGGGGAAGATATTTCCTTTTTCACCATAGGCCTGAAAGCGCTCCAAATGTCCACATCCAGATACTACAAAAAGAGTGTTTCAAACCTGCTCTACGAAAGGGAATGTTCAACTCTGTGACTTGAATGCAAACATCACAAAGAAGTTTCTGGGAATGCTGCTGTCTGCTTTTTATATGTAACCCGTTTCCAACGAAATCCTCAAAGCTAGACAAATATCCACTTGCAGATTCCACAAAAAGAGTGTTTCAAAACTGCTCTCTCAAAGGAAGGTTCAACTCTGTTAGCTGAGTAGATACATCATGAAAAAGTTTCTGACATTGCTTCTATCTAGCTTTTATTGGAAGATATTTCCTTTTTCACCGCAGTCCTGAGAGCGCTCCAAATGTCCACTTCCAGATACTACAAAAAGAGTGTTTCAAACCTGCTCTATGAAAGGGACTGTTCAACACTGTGACTTTAATTGAAACATCCCAATGAAGCTTCTGAGAATGCTTATGTCTAGAGTTTATATGAAGACAATCCCGTTTCCAACGAAATCCTGAAAGCTATCCAAATATCCTCTTGCAGATATTACAAAAAGAGTGTTTCAAAACTGCTCTATCAAAAGAAAGCTTCAACACTGTTAGTTGAGGGCGCCCATCACAAATAAGTTTCGGAGAATGCTTAGCTGTCTGCTTTTTATATGTAATCCCGTTTCCAACGAAATCCTCAAAGCTATCCAAATATCCTCTTGCAGATATTACAAAAAGAGTGTTTCAAAACAGCTCTATCAAAAGAAAGGTTCAACACTGTTAGTTGAGGGCGCACATCACAAATAAGTTTCTGAGAATGCTTCTGTCTAGTTTTCAGGGGAAGATATTTCCTTTTTCACCATAGGCCTGAAAGCGCTCCAAATGTCCACATCCAGATACTACAAAAAGAGTGTTTCAAACCTGCTCTATGAAAGGTAATATTCAACTCTGTGACTTGAATGCAAACATCACAAAGAAGTTACTGGGAATGCTTCTGTCTAGAGTTTATATGAAGACAATCCCGTTTCCAAAGAAATCCTCCAAGCTATCCAAATATCCTCTTGCAGATTTTACAAAAAGAGTGTTTCAAAACTGCTCTATCAAAAGAAAGGTTCAACACTGTTAGTTGAGGGCGCACATCACAAATAAGATTCTGAGAATGCTTCTGTCTAGTTTTCAGGGGAAGATATTTCCTTTTTCACCATAGGCCTGAAAGCGCTCCAAATGTCCACATCCAAGATACTACAAAAAGAGTGTTTCAAACCTGCTCTATGAAAGGGAATGTTCAACTCTGTGACTTGAATGCAATCTTCACAAAGAAGTTTCTGGGAATGCTGCTGTCTGCTTTTTATATGTAATCCCGTTTCCAACGAAATCCTCAAAGCTAGACAAATATCCACCTGCAGATTCCACAAAAAGAGTGTTTCAAAACTGCTCTCTCAAAGGAAAGGTTCAACTCTGTTAGCTGAGTAGATACATCATGAAAAAGTTTCTGACATTGCTTCTATGTAGCTTTTATTGGAAGATATTTCCTTTTTCACCATAGTCCTGAGAGCGCTCCAAATGTCCACTTCCAGATACTACAAAAAGAGTGTTTCAAACCTGTTCTATGAAAGGAACTGTTCAACACTGTGACTTCAATTGAAACATCCCAAAGAAGCTTCTGAGAATGCTTCTGTCTAGAGTTTATATGAAGACAATCCCGTTTCCAACGAAATCCTCAAAGCTATCCAAATATCCTCTTGCAGATATTACAAAAAGAGTGTTTCAAAACTGCTCTATCAAAAGAAAGGTTCAACACTGTTAGTTGAGGGCGCACATCACAAATAAGTTTACTGAGAATGCTGCTGTCTGCTTTTTATATGTAATCCCGTTTCCAACGAAATCCTCAAAGCTAGACAAATATCCACTTGCAGATTCCACAAAAAGAGTGTTTCAAAACTGCTCTATCAAAAGAAAGCTTCAACACTGTTAGTTGAGGGCGCACATCACAAATAAGTTTCTGAGAATGCTTCTGTCTAGTTTTCAGGGGAAGATATTTCCTTTTAAACCATAGGCCTGAAAGCGCTCCAAATGTCCACATCCAGATTCTACAAAAAGAGTGTTTCAAACCTGCTCTATGAAAGGGACTGTTCAACACTGTGACTTCAATTGAAACATCCCAATGAAGCTTCTGAGAATGCTTCTGTCTAGAGTTTATATGAAGACAATCCCGTTTCCAACGAAATCCTCAAAGCTATCCAAATATCCTCTTGCAGATATTACAAAAAGAGTGTTTCAAAACTGCTCTATCAAAAGAAAGGTTCAACACTGTTAGTTGAGGGCGCACATCACAAATAAGTTTCTGAGAATGCTTCTGTCTAGTTTTCAGGGGAAGATATTTCCTTTTTCACCATAGGCCTGAAAGCGCTCCAAATGTCCACATCCAGATACTTCAAAAAGAGTGTTTCAAACCTGCTCTATGAAACGGAATGTTCAACTCTGTGACTTGAATGCAAACATCACAAAGAAGATTCTGGGAATGCTGCTGTCTGCTTTTTATATGTAATCCCGTTTCCAACGAAATCCTCAAAGCTAGACAAATATCCACTTGCAGATTCCACAAAAAGAGTGTTTCAAAACTGCTCTCTCAAAAGAAAGTTTCAACTCTGTTAGCTGAGTAGATACATCACGAAAATGTTTCTGACATTGCTTATCTATCTAGCTTTTATTGGAAGATATTACCTTTATCACCGTATTACTGAGATCTCTCCAAATGTCCACTTCCAGATACTACAAAAAGAGTGTTTCAAACCTGCTCTATGAAAGGGACTGTTCAACACTGTGACTTCAATTGAAACATCCCAATGAAGCTTCTGAGAATGCTAC
This sequence comes from Homo sapiens, assembly GCF_000001405.40. Classification (NCBI taxonomy): domain Eukaryota; kingdom Metazoa; phylum Chordata; class Mammalia; order Primates; family Hominidae; genus Homo; species Homo sapiens. The sequence goes on along the minus strand of NC_000002.12, from coordinate 93,724,998 downwards.
TGTCTAGAGTTTATATGAAGACAATCCCATTTCCACCGAAATCCTCAAAGCAATCCAAATATCCTCTTGCAGATTTTACAAAAAGAGTGTTTCAAACAGCTCTGTCAAAAGAAAGCTTCAACACTGTTAGTTGAGGGTGCACATCACAAATAAGTTTCTGAGAATGCTTCTGTCTAGTTTTCAGGGGAAGATATTTCCTTTTTCACCATAGGCCTGAAAGCGCTCCAAATGTCCACATCCAGATACTACAAAAAGAGTGTTTCAAACCTGCTCTATGAAAGGGAATGTTCAACTCTGTGACTTGAATGCAAATATCACAAAGAAGTTTCTGGGAATGCTGCTGTCTGCTTTTTATATGTAATCCCGTTTCCAACGAAATCCTCAAAGCTAGACAAATATCCACTAGCAGATTCCACAAAAAGAGTGTTTCAAAACGGCTCTCTCACAAGAAAGGTTCAACTCTGTTAGCTGAGTAGATACATCATGAAAAATTTTCTGACATTGCTTCTATCTAGCTTTTATTGGAAGATATTTCCTTTATCACCGTATTCCTGAGATCTCTCCAAATGTCCACTTCCAGATACTACAAAAAGAGTGTTTCAAACCTGCTCTATGAAAGGGACTGTTCAACACTGTGACTTCAATTGAAACATCCCAATGAAGCTTCTGAGAATGCTTCTGTCTAGAGTTTATATGAAGACAATCCCATTTCCAACGAAATCCTCAAAGCTATCAAAATATCCTTTTGCAGATTTTACGAAAAGAGTGTTTCAAAACTGCTCTATCAAAAGAAAGCTTCAACACTGTTAGTTGAGGGCGCACATCACAAATAAGATTCTGAGAATGCTGCTGTCTGCTTTTTATATGTAATCCCGTTTCCAACGAAATCCTCAAAGCTAGACAAATATCCACTTGCAGATTCCACAAAAAGAGTGTTTCAAAACTGCTCTATCAAAAGAATGCTTCAACACTGTTAGTTGAAGGCGCACATCACAAATAAGTTTCTGAGAATGCTTCTGTCTAGTTTTCAGGGGAAGATATTTCCTTTTAAACCATATGCCTGAAAGCGCTCCAAATGTCCACATCCAGATACTACAAAAAGAGTGTTTCAAACCTGCTCTATGAAAGGGACTGTTCAACACTGCAACTTCAATTGAAACATCCCAATGAAGCTTCTGAGAATGCTTCTGTCTAGAGTTTATATGAAGACAATCCCGTTTCCAACGAAATCCTCAAAGCTATCCAAATATCCTCTTGCAGATTTTACAAAAAGAGTGTTTCAAAACTGCTCTATCAAAAGAAAGCTTCAACACTGTTAGTTGAGGGCGCACATCACAAATAAGATTCTGAGAATGCTTCTGTCTAGTTTTCAGGGGAAGATATTTCCTTTTTCACCTTAGGCCTGAAAGCGCTGCAAATGTCCACATCCAGATACTACAAAAAGAGTGTTTCAAACCTGCTCTATGAAAGGGAATGTTCAACTCTGTGACTTGAATGCAAACATCACAAAGAAGTTTCTGGGAATGCTGCTGTCTGCTTTTTATATGTAATCCCGTTTCCAACGAAATCCTCAATGCTAGACAAATATCCACTTGCAGATTCCACAAAAAGAGTGTTTCAAAACTGCTCTCTCAAAAGAAAGGTTCAACTCTGTTAGCTGAGTAGATACATCATGAAAAAGTTTCTGACATTGCTTCTATGTAGCTTTTATTGGACGATATTTCCTTTTTCACCGCAGTCCTGAGAGCGCTCCAAATGTCCACTTCCAGATACTACAAAAAGAGTGTTTCAAACCTGCTCTATGAAAGGGACTGTTCAACACTGTGACTTCAACTGAAACATCCCAATGAAGCTTCTGAGAATGCTTCTTTCTAGAGTTTATATGAAGACAATCCCGTTTCCAACGAAATCCTCAAAGCTATCCAAATATTCTCTTGCAGATATTACAAAAAGAGTGTTTCAAAACTGCTCTATCAAAATAAAGCTTCAACACTGTTAGTTGAGGGCGCACATCACAAATAAGTTTCTGAGAATGCTGCTGTCTGCTTTGTATATGTAATCCCGTTTCCAACGAAATCCTCAAAGCTAGACAAATATCCACTTGCAGATTCCACAAAAAGAGTGTTTCAAAACTGCTCTATCAAAAGAAAGCTTCAACACTGTTAGTTGAGGGCGCACATCACAAATAAGATTCTGAGAATGCTTCTGTCTAGTTTTCAGGGGAAGATATTTCCTTTTAAACCATAGGCCTGAAAGCGCTCCAAATGTCCACATCCAGATACTACAAAAAGAGTGTTTCAAACCTGCTCTATGAAAGGGACTGTTCAACACTGTGACTTCAATTGAAACATCCCAATGAAGCTTCTGAGAATGCTTCTGTCTAGAGTTTATATGAAGACAATCCCGTTTCCAAAGAAATCCTCAAAGGTATCCAAATATCCTCTAGCAGATTTTACAAAAAGAGTGTTTCAAAACTGCTCTATCAAAAGAAAGCTTCAACACTGTTAGTTGAGGGCGCACATCACAAATAAAATTCTGAGAATGCTTCTGTCTAGTTTTCAGGGGAAGATATTTCCTTTTTCACCATAGGCCTGAAAGCGCTCCAAATGTCCACATCCAGATACTACAAAAAGAGTGTTTCAAACCTGCTCTATGAAAGGGAATGTTCAACTCTGTGACTTGAATGCAAACATCACAAAGAAGTTTCTGGGAATGCTGCTGTCTGCTTTTTATATGTAATCCCGTTTCCAACGAAATCCTCAAACCTAGACAAATATCCACCTGCAGATCCAACAAAAAGAGTGTTTCAAAACGGCTCTCTCAAAAGAAAGGTTCACCTCTGTTAGCTGAGTAGATACATCATGAAAAAGTTTCTGACATTGCTTCTATGTAGCTTTTATTGGAAGATATTTCCTTTTTCACCGTAGTCCTGAGAACGCTCCAAATGTCCACTTCCAGATATTACAAAAAGAGTGTTTCAAACCTGCTCTACGAAAGGGACTGTTCAACACTGTGACTTCAATTGAAACATCCCAATGAAGCTTCTGAGAATGCTGCTGTCTGCTTTGTATAATTAATCCCGTTTCCAACGAAATCCTCAAAGCTATCCAAATATCCTCTTGCAGATATTACAAAAAGAGTGTTTCAAAACTGCTCTATCAAAAGAAAGCTTCAACACTGTTAGTTGAGGGCGCACATCACAAATAAGTTTCTGAGAATGCTGCTGTCTGCTTTTTATATGTAATCCCGTTTCCAACGAAATCCTCAAAGCTAGACAAATATCCACTTGCAGATTCCACAAAAAGAGTGTTTCAAAACTGCTCTATCAAAAGAAAGCTTCAACACTGTTAGTTGAGGGGGCACATCAGAAATAAGTTTCTGAGAATGCTTCTGTCTAGTTTTCAGGGGAAGATATTTCCTTTTTCACCATATGCCTGAAAGCGCTCCAAATGTCCACATCCAGATACTACAAAAAGAGTGTTTCAAACCTGCTCTATGAAAGGGACTGTTCAACACTGTGACTTCAATTGAAACATCCCAATGAAGCTTCTGAGAATGCTTCTGTCTAGATTCTATATGAAGACAATCCCGTTTCCAACGCAATCCTCAAAGCTATCCAAATATCCTCTTGCAGATTTTACAAAAAGAGTGTTTCAAAACTGCTCTATCAAAAGAAAGGTTCAACACTGTTAGTTGAGGGCGCACATCACAAATAAGTTTCTGAGAATGCTTCTGTCTAGTTTTCAGGGGAAGATATTTCCTTTTTCACCATAGGCCTGAAAGCGCTCCAAATGTCCACATCCAGATACTACAAAAAGAGTGTTTGAAACCTGCTCTATGAAAGGCAATGTTCAACTCTGTGACTTGAATGCAAACATCACAAAGAAGTTACTGGGAATGCTGCTGTCTGCTTTTTATCTATAATCCCGTTTCCAACGAAATCCTCAAAGCTAGACAAATATCCACTTGCAGATTCCATAAAAAGAGTGTTTCAAAACTGCTCTCTCAAAAGAAAGGTTCAACTCTGTTAGCTGAGTAGATACATCATGAAAAAGTTTCTGACATTGCTTCAATCTAGCTTTTATTGGAAGATATTTCCTTTTTCACAGTAGTCCTGAGAGCGCTCCAAATGTCCACTTCCAGATACTACAAAAAGAGTGTTTCAAACCTGCTCTATGAAAGGGACTGTTCAACACCGTGACTTCAATTGAAACATCCCAATGAAGCTTCTGAGAATGCTTCTGTCTAGAGTTTATATGAAGACAATCCCGTTTCAAACGAAATCCTCAAAGCTATCCAAATATCCTCTTGCAGATTTTACAAAAAGGGTGTTTCAAAACTGCTCTATCAAAAGAAAGCTTCAACACTGTTAGTTGAGGGCGCACATCACAAATAAGATTCTGAGAATGCTGCTGTCTGCTTTTTATATGTAATCCCGTTTCCAACGAAATCCTCAAAGCTAGACAAATATCCACTTGCAGATTCCACAAAAAGAGTGTTTCAAAACTGCTCTATCAAAAGAAAGCTTCAACACTGTTAGTTGAGGGGGCACATCACAAATAAGTTTCTGAGAATGCTTCTGTCTAGTTTTCAGGGGAAGATATTTCCTTTTAAACCATAGGCCTGAAAGCGCTCCAAATGTCCACATCCAGATACTACAAAAAGAGTGTTTCAAACCTGCTCTATGAAAGGGACTGTTCAACACTGTGACTTCAATTGAAACATCCCAATGACGCTTCTGAGAATGCTTCTGTCTAGAGTTTATATGAAGACAATCCCGTTTCCAACGAAATCCTCAAATCTATCAAAATATCCTCTTGCCGATTTTACGAAAAGAGTGTTTCAAAACTGCTCTATCAAAAGAAAGCTTCAACAGTGTTAGTTGAGGGCGCACATCACAAATAAGATTCTGAGAATGCTTCTGTCTAGTTTTCAGGAGAAGATATTTCCTTTTTCACCATAGGCCTCAAAGCGCTCCAAATGTCCACATCCAGATACTATAAAAAGAGTGTTTCAAACCTGCTCTCTGAAAGGGAATGTTGAACTCTGTGACTTGAATGCAAACATCACAAAGAAGTTTCTGGGAATGCTGCTGTCTGCTTTTTATATGTAATCCCGTTTCCAACGAAATCCTCAAAGCTAGACAAATATCCACTTGCAGATTCCACAAAAAGAGTGTTTCAAAACTGCTCTCTCAAAAGAAAGGTTCAACACTGTTAGCTGAGTAGATACATCATGAAAAAGTTTCTGACATTGCTTCTATCTAGCTTTTATTGGAAGATATTTCCTTTATCACCGTATTCCTGAGATCTCTCAAAATGTCCACTTCCAGGTACTACAAAAACAGTGTTTCAAACCTGCTCTATGAAAGGGACTGTTCAACACTGTGACTTCAATTGAAACATCCCAATGACGCTTCTGAGAATGCTTCTGTCTAGAGTTTATATGAAGACAATCCCGTTTCCAACGAAATCCTCAAAGCTATCCAAATATCCTCTTGCAGATATTACAAAAAGAGTGTTTCAAAACTGCTCTATCAAAAGAAAGGTTCAACACTGTTAGTTGAGGGCGCACATCACAAATAAGTTTACTGAGAATGCTGCTGTCTGCTTTTTATATGTAATCCCGTTTCCAACGAAATCCTCAAAGCTAGACAAATATCCACTTGCAGATTCCACAAAAAGAGTGTTTCAAAACTGCTCTATCAAAAGAAAGCTTCAACACTGTTAGTTGAGGGCGCACATCACAAATAAGTTTCTGAGAATGCTTCTGTCTAGTTTTCAGGGGAAGATATTTCCTTTTAAACCATAGGCCTGAAAGCGCTCCAAATGTCCACATCCAGATACTACAAAAAGAGTGTTTCAAACCTGCTCTATGAAAGGGACTGTTCAACACTGCAACTTCAATTGAAACATCCCAATGAAGCTTCTGAGAATGCTTCTGTCTAGAGTTTATATGAAGACAATCCCGTTTCCAACGAAATCCTCAAAGCTATCCAAATATCCTCTTGCAGATTTTACAAAAAGAGTGTTTCAAAACTGCTCTATCAAAAGAAAGCTTCAACACTGTTAGTTGAGGGCGCACATCACAAATAAGTTTCTGAGAATGCTTCTGTCTAGTTTTCAGGGGAAGATATTTCCTTTTTCACCATAGGCCTGAAAGCGCTCCAAATGTCCACATCCAGATACTACAAAAAGAGTGTTTCAAACCTGCTCTAAGAAAGGGAATGTTCAACTCTGTGACTTGAATGCAAACATCACAAAGAAATTTCTGGGAATGCTGCTGTCTGCTTTTTATATGTAATCCTGTTTCCAACGAAATCCTCAAAGCTAGACAAATATCCACTTGCAGATTCCACAAAAAGAGTGTTTCAAAACTGCTCTCTGAAAAGAATGGTTCAACTCTGTTAGCTGAGTAGATACATCATGAAAAATTTTCTGACATTTCTTCTATCTAGCCTTTATTGGAAGATATTTCCTTTTTCACCGTAGTCCTGAGAACGCTCCAAATGTCCACTTCCAGATGGTACAAAAAGAGTGTTTCAAACCTGCTCTATGAAAGGGACTGTTCAACACTGTGACTTCAATTGAAACATCCCAATGAAGCTCCTGAGAATGCTTATGTCTAGAGTTTATATGAAGACAATCCCGTTTCCAACGAAATCCTGAAAGCTATCCAAATATCCTCTTGCAGATATTACAAAAAGAGTGTTTCAAAACTGCTCTATCAAAAGAAAGCTTCAACACTGTTAGTTGAGGGCGCCCATCACAAATAAGTTTCGGAGAATGCTTAGCTGTCTGCTTTTTATATGTAATCCCGTTTCCAACGAAATCCTCAAAGCTAGACAAATATCCACTTGCAGATTCCACAAAAAGAGTGTTTCAAAACTGCTCTATCAAAAGAATGCTTCAACACTGTTAGTTGAGGGCGCACATCACAAATAAGTTTCTGAGAATGCTTCTGTCTAGTTTTCAGGGGAAGATATTTCCTTTTAAACCATAGGCCTGAAGGCGCTCCAAATGTCCACATCCAGATACTACAAAAAGAGTGTTTCAAACCTGCTCTATGAAAGGGACTGTTCAACACTGTGACTTCAATTGAAACATCCCAATGAAGCTTCTGAGAATGCTTCTGTCTAGATTTTATATGAAGACAATCCCGTTTCCAACGAAATCCTCAAAGCTATCCAAATATCCTCTTGCAGATTTTACAAAAAGAGTGTTTCAAAACTGCTCTATGAAAAGAAAGCTTCAACACTGTTAGTTGAGGGCGCACATCACAAATAAGTTTCTGAGAATGCTTCTGTCTAGTTTTCAGGGGAAGATATTTCCTTTTTCACCATAGGCCTGAAAGCGCTCCAAATGTCCACATCCAGATACTACAAAAAGAGTGTTTCAAACCTGCTCTATGAAAGGGAATGTTCAACTCTGTGACTTGAATGCAAACATCACAAAGAAGTTTCTGGGAATGCTGCTGTCTGCTTTTTATATGTAATCCCGTTTCCAACGAAATCCTCAAAGCTAGACAAATATCCACTTGCAGATTCCACAAAAAGAGTGTTTCAAAACTGCTCTGTCAAAAGAAAGGTTCAACTCTGTTAGCTGAATAGATACATCATGAGAAATTTTCTGACATTGCTTCTATCTAGCTTTTATTGGAAGATATTTCCTTTATCACCGTATTCCTGAGATCTCTCCAAATGTCCACTTCCAGATACTACAAAAAGAGTGTTTCAAACCTGCTCTATGAAAGGGACTGTTCAACACTGTGACTTCAATTGAAACATCCCAATGAAGCTTCTGAGAATGCTTCTGTCTAGAGTTTATATGAAGACAATCCCGTTTCCAACGAAATCCTCAAAGCTATCCAAATATCCTCTTGCAGATATTACAAAAAGAGTGTTTCAAAACTGCTCTATCAAAAGAAAGGTTCAACACTGTTAGTTGAGGGCGCACATCACAAATAAGTTTACTGAGAATGCTGCTGTCTGCTTTTTATAATTAATCCCGTTTCCAACGAAATCCTCAAAGCTATCCAAATATCCTCTTGCAGATATTACAAAAAGAGTGTTTCAAAACTGCTCTATCAAAAGAAAGCTTCAACACTGTTAGTTGAGGGCGCACATCACAAATAAGTTTCTGAGAATGCTTCTGTCTAGTTTTCAGGGGAAGATATTTCCTTTTTCACCATAGGCCTGAAAGCGCTCCAAATGTCCACATCCAGATACTACAAAAAGAGTGTTTCAAACCTGCTCTATGAAAGGGACTGTTCAACACTGTGACTTCAATTGAAACATCCCAATGAAGCTTCTGAGAATGCTTCTGTCTAGAGTTTATATGAAGACAAAACCGTTTCCAACGAAATCCTCAAAGCTATCCAAATATCCTCTTGCAGATTTTACAAAAAGAGTGTTTCAAAACTGCTCTATCAAAAGAAAGCTTCAACACTGTTAGTTGAGGGCGCACATCACAAATAAGATTCTGAGAATGCTTCTGTCTTGTTTTCAGGGGAAGATATTTCCTTTTTCACCATAGGCCTGAAAGCGCTCCAAATGTCCGCATCCAGATACTACAAAAAGAGTGTTTCAAACCTGCTCTGTGAAAGGGAATGTTCAAGTCTGTGACTTGAATGCAAATTTCACAAAGAACTTTCTGGGAATGCTGCTGTCAGCTTTTTATATGTAATCCCGTTTCCAACGAAATCCTCAGAGCTAGACAAATATCCACTTGCAGATTCCACAAAAAGAGTGTTTCAAAAGTGCTCTCTCAAAAGAAAGGTTCAACTCTGTTAGCTGAGTAGATACATCATGAAAAAGTTTCTGACATTGCTTCTATCTAGCTTTTATTGGAAGATATTTCCTTTTTCACCGCAGTCCTGAGAGCGCTCCAAATGTCGACTTCCAGATACTACAAAAAGAGTGTTTCAAACCTGCTCTATGAAAGGGACTGTTCAACACTGTGACTTCAATTGAAACATCCCAATGAAGCTTCTGAGAATGCTGCTGTCTGCTTTGTATAATTAATCCCGTTTCCAACGAAATCCTCAAAGCTATCCAAATATCCTCTTGCAGATATTACAAAAAGAGTGTTTCAAAACTGCTCTATCAAAAGAAAGCTTCAACACTGTTAGTTGAGGGCGCACATCACAAATAAGTTTCTGAGAATGCTGCTGTCTGCTTTTTATATGTAATCCCGTTTCCAACGAAATCCTCAAAGCTAGACAAATATCCACTTGCAGATTCCACAAAAAGAGTGTTTCAAAACTGCTCTATCAAAAGAAAGCTTCAACACTGTTAGTTGAGGGGGCACATCACAAATAAGTTTCTGAGAATGCTTCTGTCTAGTTTTCAGGGGAAGATATTTCCTTTTTCACCATAGGCCTGAAAGCGCTCCAAATGTCCACATCCAGATACTACAAAAAGAGTGTTTCAAACCTGCTCTATGAAAGGGACTGTTCAACACTGTGACTTCAATTGAAACATCCCAATGAAGCTTCTGAGAATGCTTCTGTCTAGATTTTATATGAAGACAATCCCGTTTCCAACGAAATCCTCAAAGCTATCCAAATATCCTCTTGCAGATTTTACAAAAAGAGTGTTTCAAAACTGCTCTATCAAAAGAAATGTTCAACACTGTTAGTTGAGGGCGCACATCACAAATAAGTTTCTGAGAATGCTTCTGTCTAGTTTTCAGGGGAAGATATTTCCTTTTTCACCTTAGGCCTGAAAGCGCTGCAAATGTCCACATCCAGATACTACAAAAAGAGTGTTTCAAACCTGCTCTATGAAAGGGAATGTTCAACTCTGTGACTTGAATGCAAACATCACAAAGAAGTTTCTGGGAATGCTGCTGTCTGCTTTTTATATGTAATCCCGTTTCCAACGAAATCCTCAAAGCTAGACAAATATCCACTTGCAGATTCCACAAAAAGAGTGTTTCAAAACTGCTCTCTCAAAAGAAAGGTTCAACTCTGTTATCTGAGTAGATACATCATGAAAAAGTTTCTGACATTGCTTCTATGTAGCTTTTATTGGAAGATATTTCCTTTTTCACCATAGTCCTGAGAGCGCTCCAAATGTCCACATCCAGATACTACAAAAAGAGTGTTTCAAACCTGTTCTATGAAAGGAACTGTTCAACACGGTGACTTCAATTGAAACATCCCAATGAAGCTTCTGAGAATGCTGCTGTCTGCTTTGTATAATTAATCCCGTTTCCAACGAAATCCTCAAAGCTATCCAAATATCCTCTTGCAGATATTACAAAAAGAGTGTTTCAAAACTGCTCTATCAAAAGAAAGCTTCAACACTGTTAGTTGAGGGCGCACATCACAAATAAGTTTCTGAGAATGCTGCTGTCTGCTTTTTATATAATCCCGTTTCCAACGAAATCCTCAAAGCTAGACAAATATCCTCTTGCAGATTTTACAAAAAGAGTGTTTCAAAACTGCTCTATCAAAAGAAAGGTTCAACACTGTTAGTTGAGGGCGCACATCACAAATAAGTTTCTGAGAATGCTTCTATGTAGCTTTTATTGGAAGATATTTCCTTTTTCACCGTAGTCCTGAGAGCGCTCCAAATGTCCACTTCCAGATACTACAAAAAGAGTGTTTCAAACCTGCTCTATGAAAGGGACTTTTCAACACTGTGACTTCAATTGAAACATCCCAATGAAGCTTCTGAGAATGCTTCTGTCTAGAGTTTATATGAAGACAATCCCGTTTCCAACGAAATCCTCAAAGCTATCCAAATATCCTCTTGCAGATTTTACAAAAAGAGTGTTTCAAAACTGCTCTATCAAAAGAAAGCTTCAACACTGTTAGTTGAGGGCGCACATCACAAATAAGATTCTGAGAATGCTTTCTGTCTAGTTTTCAGGGGAAGATATTTCCTTTTTCACCATAGGCCTGAAAGCGCTCCAAATGTCCACATCCAGATACTACAAAAAGAGTGTTTCAAACCTGCTCTCTGAAAGGGAATGTTCAACTCTGTGACTTGAATGCAAACATCACAAAGAAGTTTCTGGGAATGCTGCTGTCTGCTTTTTATATGTAATCCCGTTTCCAACGAAATCCTCAAAGCTAGACAAATATCCACTTGCAGATTCCACAAAAATAGTGTTTCAAAACTGATCTCGCAAAAGAAAGGTTCAACTCTTTTAGCTGAGTAGATACATCATGAAAAAGTTTCTGACATTGCTTCTATCTAGCTTTTATTGGAAGATATTTCCTTTTTCACCGTAGTCCTGAGATCTCTCCAAATGTCCACTTCCAGATACTACAAAAAGAGTGTTTCAAACCTGCTCTATGAAAGGGACTGTTCAACACTGTGACTTCAATTGAAACATCCCAATGAAGCTTCTGAGAATGCTGCTGTCTGCTTTGTATAATTAATCCCGTTTCCAACGAAATCCTCAAAGCTATCCAAATATCCTCTTGCAGATATTACAAAAAGAGTGTTTCAAAACTGCTCTATCAAAAGAAAGCTTCAACACTGTTAGTTGAGGGCGCACATCACAAATAAGTTTCTGAGAATGCTGCTGTCTGCTTTTTATATGTAATCCCGTTTCCAACGAAATCCTCAAAGCTAGACAAATATCCACTTGCAGATTCCACAAAAAGAGTGTTTCAAAACTGCTCTATCAAAAGAAAGCTTCAACACTGTTAGTTGAGGGCGCACATCACAAATAAGTTTCTGAGAATGCTTCTATGTAGCTTTTATTTTAAGATATTTCCTTTTTCACCGTAGTCCTGAGAGCGCTCCAAATGTCCACTTCCAGATACTACAAAAAGAGTGTTTCAAACCTGTTCTATGAAAGGAACTGTTCAACACTGTGACTTCAATTGAAACATCCCAATGAAGCTTCTGAGAATGTTTCTGTCTAGAGTTTATATGAAGTCAATCCCGTTTCCAACGAAATCCTCAAAGCTATCCAAATATCCTCTTGCAGATATTACAAAAAGAGTGTTTCAAAACTGCTCTATCAAAAGAAAGGTTCAACTACTGTTAGTTTAGGGCGCACATCACAAATAAGTTTCTGAGAATGCTTCTGTCTACTTTTCTGGGGAAGATATTTCCTTTTTCACCATAGGCCTGAAAGCGCTCCAAATGTCCACATCCAGATACTACAAAAAGAGTGTTTCAAACCTGCTCTATGAAAGGGAATGTTCAACTCTGTGACTTGAATGCAAACATCACAAAGAAGTTACTGGGAATGCTGCTGTCTGCTTTTTATATGTAATCCCGTTTCCAACGAAATCCTCAAAGCTAGACAAATATCCAATTGCAGATTCCACAAAAAGAGTGTTTCAAAACTGCTCTCTCAAAGGAAAGGTTCAACTCTGTTAGCTGAGTAGATACATCATGAAAAAGTTTCTGACATTGCTTCTATCTAGCTTTTATTGTAAGATATTTCCTTTATCACCGTATTCCTGAGATCTCTCCAAATGTCCACTTCCAGATACTACAAAAAGAGTGTTTCAAACCTGCTCTATGAAAGGGACTGTTCAACACTGTGACTTCAATTGAAACATCCCAATGAAGCTTCTGAGAATGCTTCTTTCTAGAGTTTATATGAAGACAATCCCGTTTCCAACGAAATCCTCAAAGCTATCCAAATATTCTCTTGCAGATATTACAAAAAGAGTGTTTCAAAACTGCTCTATCAAAATAAAGCTTCAACACTGTTAGTTGAGGGCGCACATCACAAATAAGTTTCTGAGAATGCTGCTGTCTGCTTTTTATATGTAATCCCGTTTCCAACGAAATCCTCAAAGCTAGACAAATATCCACTTGCAGATTCCACAAAAAGAGTGTTTCAAAACTGCTCTATCAAAAGAAAGCTTCAACACTGTTAGTTGAGGGCGCACATCACAAATAAGTTTCTGAGAATGCTTCTGTCTAGTTTTCAGGGGAAGATATTTCCTTTTTCACCATAGGCCTGAAAGCGCTCAAATGTCCACATCCAGATACTACAAAAAGAGTGTTTCAAACCTGCTCTATGAAAGGGACTGTTCAACATTGTGACTTCAATTGAAACATCCCCATGATGCTTCTGAGAATGCTTCTGTCTAGAGTTTATATGAAGACAATCCCGTTTCCAAGGAAATCCTCAAAGCTATCCAAATATCCTCTTGCAGATATTACAAAAAGAGTGTTTCAAAACTGCTCTATCAAAAGAAAGCTTCAACACTGTTAGTTGAGGGCGCACATCACAAATAAGATTCTGAGAATGCTTCTGTCTAGTTTTCAGGGGAAGATATTTCCTTTTTCACCATAGGCCTGAAAGCGCTGCAAATGTCCACATCCAGATACTACAAAAAGAGTGTTTCAAACCTGCTCTATGAAAGGGAATGTTCAAATCTGTGACTTGAATGCAAATATCACAAAGAAGTTACTGGGAATGCTGCTGTCTGCTTTTTATATGTAATCCCGTTTCCAACGAAATCCTCAAAGCTAGACAAATATCCACTTGCAGATTCCACAAAAAGAGTGTTTCAAAACTGCTCTCTCAAAAGAAAGGTTCAACTCTGTTAGCTGAGTAGATACATCATGAAAAAGTTTCTGACATTGCTTCTATCTAGCTTTTATTGGAAGATATTTCCTTTTTCACCGTAGTCCTGAGAGCGCTCCAAATGTCCACTTCCAGATACTACAAAAAGAGTGTTTCAAACCTGCTCTATGAAAGGGACTGTTCAACACTGTGACTTCAATTGAAACATCGCAGTGAAGCTTCTGAGAATGCTGCTGTCTGCTTTGTATAATTAATCCCGTTTCCAACGAAATCCTCAAAGCTATCCAAATATCCTCTTGCAGATATTACAAAAAGAGTGTTTCAAAACTGCTCTATCAAAAGAAAGCTTCAACACTGTTAGTTGAGGGCGCACATCACAAATAAGTTTCTGAGAATGCTGCTGTCTGCTTTTTATATGTAATCCCGTTTCAAACGAAATTCTCAAAGCTAGACAAATATCCACTTGCAGATGCCACAAAAAGAGTGTTTCAAAACTGCTCTATCAAAAGAAAGCTTCAACACTGTTAGTTGAGGGCGCACATCACAAATAAGTTTCTGAGAATGCTTCTGTCTAGTTTTCAGGGGAAGATATTTCCTTTTTCACCATAGGCCTGAAAGCGCTCCAAATGACCACATCCAGATACTACAAAAAGAGTGTTTCAAACCTGCTCTATGAAAGGGACTGTTCAACACTGTGACTTCAATTGAAACATCCCAATGAAGCTTCTGAGAATGCTTCTGTCTAGAGTTTATATGAAGACAATCCCGTTTCCAACGAAATCCTCAAAGCTATCCAAATATCCTCTTGCAGATTTTACAAAAAGAGTGTTTCAAAACTGCTCTATCAAAAGAAAGCTTCAACACTGTTAGTTGAGGGCGCACATCACAAATAAGATTCTGAGAATGCTTCTGTCTAGTTTTCAGGGGAAGATATTTCCTTTTTCACCATAGGCCTGAAAGCGCTCCAAATGTCCGCATCCAGATACTACAAAAAGAGTGTTTCAAACCTGCTCTATGAAAGGGAATGTTCAACTCTGTGACTTGAATGCAAACATCACAAATAAGTTACTGGGAATGCTGCTGTCTGCTTTTTATATGTAATCCCGTTTCCAACGAAATCCTCAAAGCTAGACAAATATCCACTTCCAGATTCCACAAAAAGAGTGTTTCAAAACTGCTCTCTCAAAAGAAAGGTTCAACACTGTTAGCTGAGTAGATACATCCTGAAAAAGTTTCTGACATTGCTTATCTATCTAGCTTTTATTGGAAGATATTTCCTTTATCACCGTATTCCTGAGATCTCTCCAAATGTCCACTTCCAGATACTACAAAAAGAGTGTTTCAAACCTGCTCTATGAAAGGGACTGTTCAACACTGTGACTTCAATTGAAACATCCCAATGAAGCTTCTGAGAATGCTGCTGTCTGCTTTGTATAATTAATCCCGTTTCCAACGAAATCCTCAAAGCTATCCAAATATCCTCTTGCAGATATTACAAAAAGAGTGTTTCAAAACTGCTCTATCAAAAGAAAGCTTCAACACTGTTAGTTGAGGGCGCACATCACAAATAAGTTTCTGAGAATGCTGCTGTCTGCTTTTTATATGTAATCCCGTTTCCAACGAAATCCTCAAAGCTAGACAAATATCCACTTGCAGATTCCACAAAAAGAGTGTTTCAAAACTGCTCTATCAAAAGAAAGCTTCAACACTGTTAGTTGAGGGCGCACATCACAAATAAGTTTCTGAGAATGCTTCTGTCTAGTTTTCAGGGGAAGATATTTCCTTTTAAACCATAGGCCTGAAAGCGCTCCAAATGTCCACATCCAGATACTACAAAAAGAGTGTTTCAAACCTGCTCTATGAAAGGGACTGTTCAACACTGTGACTTCAATTGAAACATCCCAATGAAGCTTACTGAGAATGCTTCTGTCTAGAGTTTATATGAAGACAATCCCGTTTCCAATGAAATCCTCAAAGCTATCCAAATATCCTCTTGCAGATTTTACAAAAAGAGTGTTTCAAAACTGCTCTATCAAAAGAAAGCTTCAACACTGTTAGTTGAGGGCGCACATCACAAATAAGATTCTGAGAATGCTTCTGTCTAGTTTTCAGGGGAAGATATTTCCTTTTTCACCATAGGCCTGAAAGCGCTCCAAATGTCCACATCCAGATACTACAAAAAGAGTGTTTCAAACCTGCTCTATGAAAGGGAATGTTCAAGTCTGTGACTTGAATGCAAATATCACAAAGAAGTTTCTGGGAATGCTGCTTTCTGCTTTTTATATGTAATCCCGTTTCCAACGAAATCCTCAAAGCTAGACAAATATCCACTTGCAGATTCCACAAAAAGAGTGTTTCAAAACTGCTCTGTCAAAAGAAAGGTTCAACTCTGTTAGCTGAATAGATACATCATGAAAAATTTTCTGACATTGCTTCTATCTAGCTTTATTTGGAAGATATTTCCTTTTTCACCGTAGTCCTGAGAGCGCTCCAAATGTCAACTTCCAGATACTACAAAAAGATTGTTTCAAACATGCTCTATGAAAGGGACTGTTCAACACTGTGACTTCAATTGAAACATCCCAATGAAGCTTCTGAGAATGTTGCTGTCTGCTTTGTATAATTAATCCCGTTTCCAACGAAATCCTCAAAGCTATCCAAATATCCTCTTGCAGATATTACAAAAAGAGTGTTTCAAAACTGCTCTATCAAAAGAAAGCTTCAACACTGTTAGTTGAGGGCGCACATCACAAATAAGTTTCTGAGAATGCTGCTGTCTGCTTTTTATATGTAATCCCGTTTCCAACGAAATCCTCAAAGCTAGACAAATATCCACTTGCAGATTCCACAAAAAGAGTGTTTCAAAACTGCTCTATCAAAAGAATGCTTCAACACTCTTACTTGAGGGCGCACATCACAAATAAGTTTCTGAGAATGCTTCTGTCTAGTTTTCAGGGGAAGATATTTCCTTTTAAACCATAGGCCTGAAAGCGCTCCAAATGTCCACATCCAGATACTACAAAAAGAGTGTTTCAAACCTGCTCTATGAAAGGGACTGTTCAACACTGTGACTTCAATTGAAACATCCCAATGAAGCTTCTGAGAATGCTTCTGTCTAGATTCTATATGAAGACAATCCCGTTTCCAACGAAATCCTCAAAGCTATCCAAATATCCTCTTGCGGATTTTACAAAAAGAGTGTATCAAAACTGCTCTATCAAAAGAAAGGTTCAACACTGTTAGTTGAGGGCGCACATCACAAATAAGTTTCTGAGAATGCTTCTGTCTAGTTTACAGGAGAAGATATTTCCTTTTTCACCATAGTCCTGAAAGCGCTCCAAATGTCCACATCCAGATACTATAAAAAGAGTGTTTCAAACCTGCTCTCTGAAAGGGAATGTTCAACTCTGTGACTTGAATGCAAACATCACAAACAAGATTCTGGGAATGCTGCTGTCTGCTTTTTATATGTAATCCCGTTTCCAACGAAATCCTCAAAGCTAGACAAATATCCACTTGCAGATTCCACAAAAAGAGTGTTTCAAAACTGCTCTCTCAAAGGAAAGGTTCAACTCTGTTAGCTGAGTAGATACATCATGAAAAAGTTTCTGACATTGCTTCTATGTAGCTTTTATTGGAAGATATTTCCTTTTTCACCGCAGTCTGAGAGCGCTCCAAATGTCCACTTCCAGATACTACAAAAAGAGTGTTTCAAACCTGCTCTATGAAAGGGACTGTTCAACACTGTGACTTCAATTGAAACATCCCAATGAAGCTTCTGAGAATGCTGCTGTCTGCTTTGTATAATTAATCCCGTTTCCAACGAAATCCTCAAAGCTATCCAAATATCCTCTTGCAGATATTACAAAAAGAGTGTTTCAAAACTGCTCTATCAAAAGAAAGCTTCAACACTGTTAGTTGAGGGCGCACATCACAAATAAGTTTCTGAGAATGCTGCTGTCTGCTTTTTATATGTAATTCCTTTTCCAACGAAATCCTCAAAGCTAGACAAATATCCACTTGCAGATTCCACAAAAAGAGTGTTTCAATACTGCTCTATCAAAAGAATGCTTCAACACTGTTAGTTGAGGGCGCACATCACAAATAAGTTTCTGAGAATGCTTCTGTCTAGTTTTCAGGGGAAGATATTTCCTTTTTCACCATAGGCCTGAAAGCGCTCCAAATGTCCACATCCAGATACTACAAAAAGAGTGTTTCAAACCTGCTCTATGAAAGGGACTGTTCAACACTGTGACTTCAATTGAAACATCCCAATGAAGCTTCTGAGAATGCTTCTGTCTAGAGTTTATATGAAGACAATCCCGTTTCCAACGAAATCCTCAAAGCTATCCAAATATCCTCTTGCAGATTTTACAAAAAGAGTGTTTCAAAACTGCTCTATCAAAAGAAAGCTTCAACTCTGTTAGTTGAGGGCGCACATCACAAATAAGATTCTGAGAATGCTTCTGTCTAGTTTTCAGGGTAAGATATTTCCTTTTTCACCATAGGCCTGAAAGCGCTCCAAATGTCCACATCCAGATACTACAAAAAGAGTGTTTCAAACCCGCTCTATGGAAGGGAATGTTCAAGTCTGTGACTTGAATGCAAATATCACAAAGGAAGTTTCTGGGAATGCTGCTGTCTGCTTTTTATATGTAATCCCGTTTCCAACGAAATCCTCAAAGCTAGACAAATATCCACTTGCAGATTCCACAAAAAGAGTGTTTCAAAACTGCTCTCTCAAAGGAAAGGTTCAACTCTGTTAGCTGAGTAGATACATCTTGAAAAAGTTTCTCACATTGCTTCTATGTAGCTTTTATTGGAAGATATTTCCTTTTTCACCGTAGTCCTGAGAGCGCTCCAAATGTCCACTTCCAGATACTACAAAAAGAGTGTTTCAAACCTGTTGCTATGAAAGGAACTGTTCAACACTGTGACTTCAATTGAAACATCCCAATGAAGCTTCTGAGAATGCTTCTGTCTAGAGTTTATATGAAGACAATCCCGTTTCCAACGAAATCCTCAAAGCTATCCAAATATCCTCTTGCAGATATTACAAAAAGAGTGTTTCAAAACTGCTCTATCAAAAAAAAGTTCAACACGGTTAGTTGAGGGCGCACATCACAAATAAGTTTCTGAGAATGCTGCTGTCTGCTTTTTATATGTAATCCCGTTTCCAACGAAATCCTCAAAGCTAGACAAATATCCACTTGCAGATTCCACAAAAAGAGTGTTTCAAAACTGCTCTATCAAAAGAATGCTTCAACACTGTTAGTTGAAGGCGCACATCACAAATAAGTTTCTGAGAATGCTTCTGTCTAGTTTTCAGGGGAAGATATTTCCTTTTAAACCATAGGCCTGAAAGCGCTCCAAATGTCCACATCCAGATACTACAAAAAGAGTGTTTCAAACCTGCTCTATGAAAGGGACTGTTCAACAGTGTGACTTCAATTGAAACATCCCAATGACGCTTCTGAGAATGCTTCTGTCTAGAGTTTATATGAAGACAATCCCGTTTCCAACGAAATCCTCAAAGCTATCCAAATATCCTCTTGCAGATATTACAAAAAGAGTGTTTCAAAACTGCTCTATCAAAAGAAAGGTTCAACACTGTTAGTTGAGGGCGCACATCACAAATAAGTTTCTGAGAATGCTTCTGTCTAGTTTTCAGGGGAAGATATTTCCTTTTTCACCATAGGCCTGAAAGCGCTCCAAATGTCCACAACCAGATACTTCAAAAAGAGAGTTTCAAACCTGCTCTATGAAAGGGAATGTTCAACTCTCTGACTTGAATGCAAACATCACAAAGAAGTTACTGGGAATGCTGCTGTCTGCTTTTTATATGTAATCCCGTTTCCAACGCAATCCTCAAAGCTAGACAAATATCCACTTGCAGATTCCACAAAAAGAGTGTTTCAAAACTGCTCTCTCAAAGGAAGGTTCAACTCTGTTAGCTGAGTAGATACATCATGAAAAAGTTTCTGACATTGCTTCTATCTAGCTTTTATTGGAAGCTATTTCCTTTTTCACCGTAGTCCTGAGATCTCTCCAAATGTCCACTTCCAGATACTACAAAAAGAGTGTTTCAAACCTGCTCTATGAAACGGAATGTTCAACACTGTGAATTCAATTGACACATCCCAATGAAGCTTCTGAGAATGCTTCTGTCTAGAGTTTATATGAAGACAATCCCGTTTCCAATGAAATCCTCATAGCTATCCAAATATCCTCTTGCAGATTTTACAAAAAGAGTGTTTCAAAACTGCTCTATCAAAAGAAAGCTTCAACACTGTTAGTGGAGGGCGCACATCACAAATAAGATTCTGAGAATGCTGCTGTCTGCTTTTTATATGTAATCCCGTTTCCAACGAAATCCTCAAAGCTAGACAAATATCCACTTACAGATTCCACAAAAAGAGTGTTTCAAAACTGCTCTATCAAAAGAATGCTTCAACACTGTTAGTTGAGGGCGCACATCAGAAATAAGTTTCTGAGAATGCTTCTGTCTAGTTTTCAGGGGAAGATATTTCCTTTTAAACCATAGGCCTGAAAGCGCTCCAAATGTCCACATCCAGATACTACAAAAAGAGTGTTTCAAACCTGCTCTATGAAAGGGACTGTTCAACACTGTGACTTCAATTCAAACATCCCAATGACGCTTCTGAGAATGCTACTGTCTAGGGTTAATATGAAGACAATCCCGTTTCCAACGAAATCCTCCAAGCTATCGAAATATCCTCTTGCAGATTTTACAAAAAGAGTGTTTCAAAACTGCTCTATCAAAAGAAAGCTTCAACACTGTTAGTTGAGGGCGCACATCACAAATAAGTTTCTGAGAATGCTTCTGTCTAGTTTTCAGGGGAAGATATTTCCTTTTTCACCATAGGCCTGAAAGCGCTCCAAATGTCCACATCCAGATACTACAAAAAGAGTGTTTCAAACCTGCTCTATGAAAGGGAATGTTCAACTCTGTGACTTGAATGCAAACATCACAAAGAAGTTTGTGGGAATGCTTCTGTCTAGAGTTTATATGAAGACAATCCCGTTTCCAACGAAATCCTCAAAGCTAGACAAATATCCACTTGCAGATTCCACAAAAAGAGTGTTTCAAAACTGCTCTCTCAAAGGAAGGTTCAACTCTGTTAGCTGAGTAGATACATCATGAAAAAGTTTCTGACATTGCTTCTATCTAGCTTTTATTGGAAGATATTTCCTTTATAACCGTATTCCTGAGATCTCTCCAAATGTCCACTTCCAGATACTACAAAAAGAGTGTTTCAAACCTGCTCTATGAAAGGGACTGTTCAACACTGTGACTTCAATTGAAACATCCCAATGAAGCTTCTGAGAATGCTGCTGTCTGCTTTGTATAATTAATCCCGTTTCCAACGAAATCCTCAAAGCTATCCAAATATCCTCTTGCAGATATTACAAAAAGAGTGTTTCAAAACTGCTCTATCAAAAGAAAGCTTCAACACTGTTAGTTGAGGGCGCACATCACAAATAAGTTTCTGAGAATGCTGCTGTCTGCTTTTTATATGTAATCCCGTTTCCAACGAAATCCTCAAAGCTAGACAAATATCCACGTGCAGATTCCACAAAAAGAGTGTTTCAAAACTGCTCTATCAAGAGAAAGCTTCAACACTGTTAGTTGAGGGCGCACATCACAAATAAGTTTCTGAGAATGCTTCTGTCTAGTTTTCAGGGGAAGATATTTCCTTTTTCACCATAGGCCTGAAAGCGCTCCAAATGTCCACATCCAGATACTACAAAAAGAGTGTTTCAAACCTGCTCTATGAAAGGGACTGTTCAACACTGTGACTTCAATTGAAACATCCCAATGAAGCTTCTGAGAATGCTACTGTCTAGGGTTAATATGAAGACAATCCCGTTTCCAACGAAATCCTCAAAGCTATCCAAATATCCTCTTGCAGATTTTACAAAAAGAATGTTTCAAAACTGATCTATCAAAAGAAAACTTCAACACTGTTAGTTGAGGGCGCACATCACAAATAAGTTTCTGAGAATACTTCTGTCTAGTTTTCAGGGGAAGATATTTCCTTTTTCACCATAGGCCTGAAAGCGCTCCAAATGTCCACATCCAGGTACTACAAAAAGAGTGTTTCAAACCTGCTCTATGAAAGGGAATGTTCAACTCTGTGACTTGAATGCAAACATCACAAAGAAGTTTCTGGGAATGCTGCTGTCTGCTTTTTATATGTAATGCCGTTTCCAACGAAATCCTCAAAGCTAGACAAATATCCACTTGCAGATTCCACAAAAAGAGTGTTTCAAAACTGCTCTCTCAAAGGAAGGTTCAACTCTGTTAGCTGAGTAGATACATCATGAAAAAGTTTCTGACATTGCTTCTATCTAGCTTTTATTGGAAGATATTTCCTTTTTCACCGCAGTCCTGAGAGCGTTCCAAATGTCCACTTCCAGATACTACAAAAAGAGTGTTTCAAACCTGCTCTATGAAAGGGACTGTTCAACACTGTGACTTCAATTGAAACATCCCAATGAAGCTTCTGAGAATGCTGCTGTCTGCTTTGTATAATTAATCCCGTTTCCAACGAAATCCTCAAAGCTATCCAAATATCCTCTTGCAGATATTACAAAAAGAGTGTTTCAAAACTGCTCTATCAAAAGAAAGCTTCAACACTGTTAGTTGAGGGCGCACATCACAAATAAGTTTCTGAGAATGCTGCTGTCTGCTTTTTATAATTAATCCCGTTTCCAACGAAATCCTCAAAGCTATCCAAATATCCTCTTGCAGATATTACAAAAAGAGTGTTTCAAAACTGCTCTATCAAAAGAAAGCTTCAACACTGTTAGTTGAGGGCGCACATCACAAATAAGTTTCTGAGAATGCTTCTGTCTAGTTTTCAGGGGAAGATATTTCCTTTTAAACCATAGGCCTGGAAGCGCTCCAAATGTCCACATCCAGATACTACAAAAAGAGTGTTTCAAACCTGCTCTATGAAAGGGACTGTTCAACACTGTGACTTCAATTGAAACATCCCAATGAAGCTTCTGAGAATGCTTCTGCCTAGAGTTTATATGAAGACAATCCCGTTTCCAACGAAATCCTCAAAGCTATCCAAATATCCTCTTGCAGATATTACAAAAAGAGTGTTTCAAAACTGCTCTATCAAAAGAAAGCTTCAACACTGTTAGTTGAGGGCGCACATCACAAATAAGTTTCTGAGAATGCTTCTGTCTAGTTTTCAGGAGAAGATATTTCCTTTTTCACCATAGGCCTGAAAGCGCTCCAAATGTCCACATCCAGATACTATAAAAAGAGTGTTTCAAACCTGCTCTATGAAAGGGAATGTTCAACTCTGTGACTTGAATGCAAACATCACAAAGAAGATTACTGGGAATGCTGCTGTCTGCTTTTTATATGTAATCCCGTTTCCAACGAAATCCTCAAAGCTAGACAAATATCCACTTGCAGATTCCACAAAAAGAGTGTTTCAAATCTGCTCTCTCAAAAGAAAGGTTCAACTCTGTTAGCTGAGTAGATACATCATGAAAAAGTTTCTGACATTGCTTCTATCTAGCTTTATTTGGAAGATATTTCCTTTTTCACCGTAGTCCTGAGAGCGCTCCAAATGTCCACTTCCAGATACTACAAAAAGAGTGTTTCAAACCTGCTCTATGAAAGGGACTGTTCAACACTGTGACTTCAATTGAAACATCCCAATGAAGCTTCTGAGAATGCTGCTGTCTGCTTTGTATAATTAATCCCGTTTCCAACGAAATCCTCAAAGCTATCCAAATATCCTCTTGCAGATATTACAAAAAGAGTGTTTCAAAACTGCTCTATCAAAAGAAAGCTTCAACACTGTTAGTTGAGGGCGCACATCACAAATAAGTTTCTGAGAATGCTGCTGTCTGCTTTTTATATGTAATCCCGTTTCCAACGAAATCCTCAAAGCTAGACAAATATCCACTTGCAGATTCCACAAAAAGAGTGTTTCAAAACTGCTCTATCAAAAGAAAGCTTCAACACTGTTAGTTGAGGGCGCACATCACAAATAAGTTTCTGAGAATGCTTCTGTCTAGTTTTCAGGGGAAGATATTTCCTTTTTCACCATAGGCCTGAAAGCGCTCCAAATGTCCACATCCAGATACTACAAAAAGAGTGTTTCAAACCTGCTCTATGAAAGGGACTGTTCAACACTGTGACTTCAATTGAAACATCCCAATGAAGCTTCTGAGAATGCTTCTGTCTAGAGTTTATTTGAAGACAATCCCGTTTCCAATGAAATCCTCAAAGCTATGCAAATATCCTCTTGCAGATTTTACAAAAAGAGTGTTTCAAATCTGCTCTATCAAAAGAAATCTTCAACACTGTTAGTTGAGGGCGCACATCACAAATAAGATTCTGAGAATGCTTCTGTCTAGTTTTCAGTGGAATATATTTCCTTTTTCACCATATGCCTGAAAGCGCTCCAAATGTCCAAATCCAGATACTACAAAAAGAGTGTTTCAAACCTGCTCTATGAAAGGGAATGTTCAACTCTGTGACTTGAATGCAAACATCACAAAGAAGTTTCTGGGAATGCTGCTGTCTGCTTTTTATATGTAATCCCGTTTCCAACGAAATCCTGAAAGCTAGACAAATATCCACCTGCAGATTCCACAAAAAGAGTGTTTCAAAACTGCTCTCTCAAAAAAAATGTTCAACTCTCGTAGCTGAGTAGATACATCATGAAAAAGTTTCTGACGTTGCTTCTATCTAGCTTTTATTGGAAGATATTTCCTTTTTCACCGTAGTCCTGAGAGCGCTCCAAATGTCCACTTCCAGATACTACAAAAAGAGTGTTTCAAACCTGCTCTATGAAAGGGACTGTTCAACACTGTGACTTCAATTGAAACATCCCAATGAAGCTTCTGAGAATGTTTCTGTCTAGAGTTTATATGAAGACAATCCCGTTTCCAACGAAATCCTCAAAGCTATCCAAATATCCTCTTGCAGATTGTACAAAAAGAGTGTCTCAAAACTGCTCTATCAAAAGAAAGCTTCAACACTGTTAGTTGAGGGCGCACATCACAAATAAGTTTCTGAGAATGCTGCTGTCTGCTTTTTATAATTAATCCCGTTTCCAACGAAATCCTCAAAGCTATCCAAATATCCTCTTGCAGATATTACAAAAAGAGTGTTTCAAAACTGCTCTATCAAAAGAAAGCTTCAACACTGTTAGTTGAGGGCGCACATCACAAATAAGTGTCTGAGAATGCTTCTGTCTAGTTTTCAGGGGAAGATATTTCCTTTTTCACCATAGGCCTGAAAGCGCTCCAAATGTCCACATCCAGATACTACAAAAAGAGTGTTTCAAACCTGCTCTATGAAAGGGACTGTTCAACACTGTGACTTCAATTGAAACATCCCAATGAAGCTTCTGAGAATGCTTCTGTCTAGAGTTTATATGAAGACAATCCTGTTTCCAACGAAATCCTCATAGCTATCCAAATATCCTCTTGCAGATTTTACAAAAAGTGTGTTTCAAAACTGCTCTATCAAAAGAAAGCTTCAACACTGTTAGTTGAGGGCGCACATCACAAATAAGATTCTGAGAATGCTTCTGTCTAGTTTTCAGGGGAAGATATTTCCTTTTTCACCATAGGCCTGAAAGCGCTCCAAATGTCCACATCCAGATACTACAAAAAGAGTGTTTCAAACCTGCTCTATGAAAGGGAATGTTCAACTCTGTGACTTGAATGCAAACATCACAAAGAAGTTTCTGGGAATGCTGCTGTCTGCTTTTTATATGTAATCCTGTTTCCAACGAAATCCTCAAAGCTAGACAAATATCCACTTGCAGATTCCACAAAAAGAGTGTTTCAAAACTGCTCTCTCAAAAGAAAGGTTCAACTCTTTTAGCTGAGTAAATACATCATGAAAAAGTTTCTGACATTGCTTCTATGTAGCTTTTATTGGAAGATATTTCCTTTTTCACCATAGTCCTGAGAGCGCTCCAAATGTCCACTTCCAGATACTACAAAAAGAGTGTTTCAAACCTGTTCTATGAAAGGAACTGTTCAACACTGTGACTTCAATTGAAACATCCCAATGAAGCTTCTGAGAATGCTTCTGTCTAGAGTTTATATGAAGACAATCCCGTTTCCAACGAAATCCTCAAAGCTATCCAAATATCCTCTTGCAGATATTACAAAAAGAGTGTTTCAAAACTGCTCTATCAAAAGAAAGGTTCAACACTGTTAGTTGAGGGCGCACATCACAAATAAGTTTACTGAGAATGCTGCTGTCTGCTTTTTATATGTAATCCCGTTTCCAACGAAATCCTCAAAGCTATCCAAATATCCTCTTGCAGATATTACAAAAAGAGTGTTTCAAAACTGCTCTATCAAAAGAAAGGTTCAACACTGTTAGTTGAGGGCGCACATCACAAATAAGTTTCTGAGAATGCTTCTGTCTAGTTTTCAGGGGAAGATATTTCCTTTTTCACCTTATGCCTGAAAGCGCTGCAAATGTCCACATCCAGATACTACAAAAAGAGTGTTTCAAACCTGCTCTATCAAAGGGACTGTTCAACACTGTGACTTCAATTGAAACATCCCAATGAAGCTTCTGAGAATGCTTCTGTCTAGAGTTTATATGAAGACAATCCCGTTTCCAACGAAATCCTCAAAGCTATCCAAATATCCTCTTGCAGATATTACAAAAAGAGTGTTTCAAAACTGCTCTATCAAAAGAAAGGTTCAACAGTGTTAGTTGAGGGCGCACATCACAAATAAGTTTCTGAGAATGCTACTGTCTAGTTTTCAGGGGAAGATATTTCCTTTTTCACCATAGGCCTGAAAGCGCTCCAAATGTCCACATCCAGATACTACAAAAAGAGTGTTTCAAACCCGCTCTATGGAAGGGAAAGTTCAAGTCTGTGACTTGAATGCAAATATCACAAAGAAGTTTCTGGGAATGCTGCTGTCTGCTTTTTATATGTAATCATGTTTCCAACGCAATCCTCAAAGCTAGACAAATATCCACTTGCAGATTCCACAAAAAGAGTGTTTCAAAACTGCTCTCTCAAAAGAAAGGTTCAACCCTGTTAGCTGAGTAGATACATCATGAAAAATTTTCTGACATTGCTTCTATCTAGCTTTATTTGGAAGATATTTCCTTTTTCACCGTAGTCCTGAGAGCGCTCCAAATGTCCACTTCCAGATACTACAAAAAGAGTGTTTCAAACCTGCTCTATGAAAGGGACTGTTCAACACTGTGACTTCAATTGAAACATCCCAATGAAGCTTCTGAGAATGCTTCTGTCTAGAGTTTATATGAAGACAATCCCGTTTCCAACGAAATCCTCAAAGCTATCCAAATATCCTCTTGCAGATATTACAAAAAGAGTGTTTCAAAACTGCTCTATCAAAAGAAAGGTTCAACACTGTTAGTTGAGGGCGCACATCACAAATAAGTTTACTGAGAATGCTGCTGTCTGCTTTTTATATGTAATCCCGTTTCCAACGAAATCCTCAAAGCTAGACAAATATCCACTTGCAGATTCCACAAAAAGAGTGTTTCAAAACTGCTCTATCAAAAGAAAGCTTCAACACTGTTAGTTGAGGGCGCACATCACAAATAAGTTTCTGAGAATGCTTTATCTAGCTTTTATTGGAAGATATTTCCTTTATCACCGTATTCCTGAGATCTCTCCAAATGTCCACTTCCAGATACTACAAAAAGAGTGTTTCAAACCTGCTCTATGAAAGGGACTGTTCAACACTGTGACTTCAATTGAAACATCCCAATGAAGCTTCTGAGAATGCTTCTGTCTAGAGTTTATATGAAGACAATCCCGTTTCCAACGAAATCCTCAAAGCTATCCAAATATCCTCTTGCAGATTTTACAAAAAGAGTGTTTCAAAACTGCTCTATCAAAAGAAAGCTTCAACACTGTTAGTTGAGGGCGCACATCACAAATAAGATTCTGAGAATGCTTCTGTCTAGTTTTCAGGAGAAGATATTTCCTTTTTCACCATAGGCCTGAAAGCGCTCCAAATGTCCACATCCAGATACTATAAAAAGAGTGTTTCAAACCTGCTCTCTGAAAGGGAATGTTCAACTCTGTGACTTGAATGCAAACATCACAAACAAGATTCTGGGAATGCTGCTGTCTGCTTTTTATATGTAAACCCGTTTCCAACGAAATCCTCAAAGCTAGACAAACATCCACTTGCAGATTCCACAAAAAGAGTGTTTCAAAACTGCTCTCTCAAAGGAAAGGTTCAACTCTGTTAGCTGAGTAGATACATCATGAAAAAGTTTCTGACATTGCTTCTATGTAGCTTTTATTGGAAGATATTTCCTTTTTCACCATAGTCCTGAGAGCGCTCCAAATGTCCACTTCCAGATACTACAAAAAGAGGGTTTCAAACCTGTTCTATGAAAGGAACTGTTCAACACTGTGACTTCAATTGAAACATCCCAATGAAGCTTCTGAGAATGCTTCTGTCTAGATTCTATATGAAGACAATCCCGTTTCCAACGAAATCCTCAAAGCTATCCAAATATCCTCTTGCAGATTTTACAAAAAGAGTGTTTCAAAACTGCTCTATCAAAAGAAAAGTTCCACACTGTTAGTTGAGGGCGCACATCACAAATAAGTTTGCTGAGAATGCTGCTGTCTGCTTTTTATATAATCCCGTTTCCAACGAAATCCTCAAAGCTAGACAAATATCCACTTGCAGATTCCACAAAAAGAGTGTTTCAAAACTGCTCTATCAAAAGAAAGCTTCAACACTGTTAGTTGAGGGCGCACATCACAAATAAGTTTCTGAGAATGCTTCTGTCTAGTTTTCAGGGGAAGATATTTCCTTTTAAACCATAGGCCTGAAAGCGCTCAAATGTCCACATCCAGATACTACAAAAAGAGTGTTTCAATCCTGCTCTATGAAAGGGACTGTTCAACATTGTGACTTCAATTGAAACATCCCCATGATGCTTCTGAGAATGCTTCTGTCTAGAGTTTATATGAAGACAATCCCGTTTCCAACGAAATCCTCAAAGCTATCCAAATATCCTCTTGCAGATTTTACAAAAAGAGTGTTTCAAAACTGCTCTATCAAAAGAAAGCTTCAACACTGTTAGTTGAGGGCGCACATCACAAATAAGATTCTGAGAATGCTTCTGTCTAGTTTTCAGGGGAACATATTTCCTTTTTCACCATAGGCCTGAAAGCGCTCCAAATGTCCACATCCAGATACTACAAAAAGAGTGTTTCAAACCTGCTCTATGAAAGGGAATGCTGAACTCTGTGACTTGAATGCAAACATCACAAAGAAGTTACTGGGAATGCTGCTGTCTGCTTTTTATATGTAATCCCGTTTCCAACGAAATCCTCAAAGCTAGACAAATATCCACTTCCAGATTCCACAAAAAGAGTGTTTCAAAACTGCTCTCTCAAAGGAAAGGTTCAACTCTGTTAGCTGAGTAGATACATCATGAAAAAGTTTCTGACATTGCTTCTATCTAGCTTTTATTGGAAGATATTTCCTTTATCACCGTATTCCTGAGATCTCTCCAAATGTCCACTTCCAGATACTACAAAAAGAGTGTTTCAAACCTGCTCTATGAAAGGGACTGTTCAACACTGTGACTTCAATTGAAACATCCCAATGAAGCTTCTGAGAATGCTTCTGTCTAGAGTTTATATGAAGACAATCCCGTTTCCAACGAAATCCTCAAAGCTATCCAAATATCCTCTTGCAGATATTACAAAAAGAGCGTTTCAAAACTGCTCTATCAAAAGAAAGCTTCAACACTGTTAGTTGAGGGCGCACATCACAAATAAGTTTCTGAGAATGCTGCTGTCTGCTTTTTATATGTAATCCCGTTTCCAACGAAATCCTCAAAGCTAGACAAATATCCACTTCCAGATTCCACAAAAACAGTGTTTCAAAACTGCTCTATCAAAAGAATGCTTCAGCACTGTTAGTTGAGGGCGCACATCACAAATAAGTTTCTGAGAATGCTTTTTTTTTTTTTATTATACTCTAAGCTTAGGGTACATGTGCACATTGTGCAGGTTAGTTACATATGTATACATCTGCCATGCTGGTGCGCTGCACCCACTAATGTGTCATCTAGCATTAGGCATATCTCCCAATGCTATCCCTCCCTCCATCCCCCGACCCCACCACATTCCCCAGAGTGTGACATTCCCCTTCCTGTGTCCATGTGATCTCATTGTTCAATTCCCACCTATGAGTGAGAATATGCGGTGTTTCGTTTTTTGTTCTTGCGATAGTTTACTGAGAATGATATTTTCCAATTTCATCCATGTCCCTACAAATGATATGAACACATCATTTTTTATGGCTGCATAGTATTCCATGGTGTATATGGGCCACATTTCCTTAATCCAGTCTATCATTGTTGGACATTTGGGCTGGTTCCAAGTCTTTGCTATTGTGAATAGTGCCGCAATAAACATACGTGTGCATGTGTCTTTATAGCA
Organism: Homo sapiens; assembly: GCF_000001405.40. Classification (NCBI taxonomy): domain Eukaryota; kingdom Metazoa; phylum Chordata; class Mammalia; order Primates; family Hominidae; genus Homo; species Homo sapiens. The sequence goes on along the minus strand of NC_000002.12, from coordinate 93,695,000 downwards.
CCATGATTTATAGTCCTTTGGGTATATACCCAGTAATGGGATGGCTGGGTCAAATGGTATTTCTAGTTCTAGATCCCTGAGGAATCGCCACACTGACTTCCACAATGGTTGAACTACTTTACAATCCCAGAAACACTCTTTCTGTAGTATCTTGATGTGGACACTTGGAGCGCTTTGATGCTTACGGTGAAAAAGGAAGTATCTTCCCATAAAAACTACACAGA